>NT_187386.1:0-150754 GCF_000001405.40 Homo sapiens
ACTTGCTTCCTCAGGATGGAATCTGGCTGGGCCTCTGACCTTGCTGGTCACGTGGGCCGGGGCCTCCATCAGTCATACCCTGGACTCCTATCTGTGTCTAAACACCACGCCCCACCCCCAACTGCACGGCAGCCACTCGCATAGCACTCTGGGAGGGCTGTGGGCATGAGCAGCGAGGACTCCATCAGCAGCTCCCCCACATGAGCCCTGCTGATGAGGGGGCTTGCGAAGCAGCTTTGATGTGCTGGTAAATCCAGGTGCAAAACAGAACTCAAGTTAAGGCCTCCGCACAGCACTGCGTTCTAACTGTGAAGGATTCTTACTCTAGTGTCCTGTGTGGAGGTATTGGAATTGTCCATTGCTAAGACTCAGAGGAGAAAAGCACTTAGCATCGCAGGACTTGGAGCACCGGTGCTGAGGCAACCCTTCATTCATTCGTCGGATGTGTGTTAAGGCCCAGGGCAGGGGTCACGGATTCTCCTCTCACACAGCACGTGGGTGGCAGGACCAACACCGGGTCTGACCTCCCAGCCGGGGGCACAGGCTGCTCACCCCAGGCCTGGAATCTGTCAGATGCCCTTCCCGTGCTGACTTGACTTAGACAGGCCTCCTGACCTTCCCACAAAGGTCATGTGTGATTTGCAGGGGTTCTGGCCGCTTGAAAGGTTCCTGAGAAAGCACATGCAATGAGGACAGAGCTTGCAGAGGGAGGACAGGCATGCAGAAGGCTCTGTGTGCAGCCCCAGACCTGGGTACCTTCATCACCGTCCTCACCCCACCTCCGGGTGTGCACATAGGGAGCAGGTCTCCTGTGTTATGGCCCAAGCAGGGCTGTTAGGACACTGAGAACATTCCCTCCTCCCGCAGGAGAGAGAGGTCCAAGGTGCCCTACATCGTGCGCCAGTGCGTGGAGGAGATCGAGCGCCGAGGCATGGAGGAGGTGGGCATCTACCGCATGTCTGGGGTGGCCGCAGACATCCAGGCACTGAAGGCAGCCTTCAACGTCAGTGAGTGTCGGCCTGCGCAGGACGGGATGGAGGTGTGGGCAGTGGTGTCCACGATGAGATCTCAGAGTGCTCCATGGCCCAGGCATGTCACATCCTTCTCTGTGTCTTTTCTTCATTTACTGTTTTATTATTTTTAAAAAAGAGAAAACAAGAGTTGTACAAACAGCTTCTATAGAAGCCAGTTTTTACACCATCGTACCCACTCGTGCCACTTGGTGGAGTGGACCAGGGGCTTCTGCGGGGCCTTGGCCTTCCTGCCTTGGGGTTGGACAGGAGGTGGAAGCCCAGGACTCAGTGCGGTCTGTCCACTGCCCTGTATGAGGATGTGGTGGGCAGAGGGCACTGATGAAATTCAGCGCAGGCCGGGGCTGCAGCCTCTCCGCCTCCATCTCACCAACCCTCACAGGCTTTGAAGGACCCGGACCTGCCTCAAATGCCAGGGGAGGGCACTGAGACCCCAGAGGGTCCTTCCCAGCATCTTCAAAGCAACAGGATTTTGTGCCTGCAGACCCTTCTTTGCAGCACACACCACCCACCCTGACCAGGACCCCTAGAATGCTCAGCATCCCTGGGAGGGCCCTGTGGTAGTTTCAGCTCCCTCTGAGGGCCCAGAATGAACCTGGCCTGTGGTGAGGATGTAAGCACCAATGGCCAATTGGGTCCAAAGGAAGACACCGGTTCAAACACTGAAACCAATCAGATTCTCCCACGGCCTTCCTGCTATCAGAAGACACTGGTGCAGGGGTGGTTGCTATGTACAGGGCAGAGCCACCCAATCCCCATGCAGGCGCTGTGTCCTGCCATGCTGGCCTCCTCCTGGCCATCACATCAGGCCAAGCAGGGGAGAGGAATGGGAATGCCCACGCACCCCTATCAACTCTGCAGACACAGAACCATGCACAGCTCTTGGGAGGAGTCAGATGAGCTGCTCAAAGCCCAGGAGGGACCCACACAGTGGTCAGCATGGCAGGGACGGTGCTTTAGCCAAGGCAGGGATGGTGGGTGACTCACTCAGGATCTTCAAGGAGGCCGCTGCATTTCCGTGCTCTTTCCAGATAACAAGGACGTGTCAGTGATGATGAGCGAGATGGACGTGAACGCCATCGCAGGCACGCTGAAGCTGTATTTCCGTGAGCTGCCCGAGCCCCTCTTCACTGACGAGTTCTACCCCAACTTCGCAGAGGGCATCGGTGAGCACTGGAGGCCTTGGCCTCATGGGAGACGTCTCCTCCACGTGCACTGCTGCCCTCAGAGGCTGTGAAAAGTGAGGTGTGGGAACCTGAGCTGTGCTTCCTCTGCCATGGTCGGAATTTTAACCCAACCTCAAAAAGCAGGGGACCAAAACTGAGCCTATCCTGGAAGGCCTTGCCCATCCCCAGAGGGGTCCCCATCCATATTTCTCAAGGAGGCCAAGTGGGTGAAATGGTCAGCACTGCCGTGCTGTGGGGTCCTAAAGTCTGCTGTCCTCCTTCCTGCAGACCAGGGCTAAACACTGGTGCCCAGGTGCTCTTGCCATGGGTCCTGGTCCAGCCAAGCATGGTTTCAAACATGACCTGACCCTTAGTCAACCTGGAGGCTGATGTCTAGAGTGGGCGCTGGAGCGTGCAGCACCTGTAGCCTGTGCATCACCCTTAGGGCAGGTCTGCCTCCCGGGCCCATGCACAGAGGACCTGGTCTCCCAGCCTGCAGGTGCCCCTGTGGTGTCCAGGATGTCGAGGGGGTCTCTGTGTACTTGGTGGGGCTGGGACCCTCCCACTTCCCACCTCCTTGTGTCCCTCACTCCCCTGTTTCATTCCATGCTGAGCCTCCCCTGCCTTGGGCTCCCTGGGGAGGGGGTGGTGGCAGGAGTTGCCCGAGGGCAGCTCTGCCCATGAGCAGCTGCTCTAGCGGCTCCTCCTGCTGCTGTTCGCCGGGTGCTGCTGACACCTGCGAGGCAGAGAAAAGGCGTTCAGGTGGTTCACACCCCACACAGGTGCCCCTCACAGGGTCCTCACTGGCGGCCAGCGCTGTGGGTGTGACGATGATGACAAGCCTAAACTGCGCAAGGACTCGTGTCCCGGGCGCTCCATGTGACCACCTCGGGAGAGGTCTCCGGCTTGTCGTAACCCAGAGGAGTGACCCACTGCCTCCTGCAGCTCTTTCAGACCCAGTTGCAAAGAAGAGCTGCATGCTCAACCTGCTGTCGTCCCTGCCGGAGGCCAACCTGCTCACCTTCCTTTTCCTTCTAGACCGCCTGGAAAGGTAGCCCAGCTCTCTTGTGGCTGCCCAGGACTCCAGGTCTCCAGGCCGTGGGGTGCCCCTCTGCTCCCACCAGACCCCCAGCACCAAGGACCTATCCCCTGACCCCTGTCTGCAGTAACTCACTGCTTCTAAGGACTAGCACCACTGCCACCCCCGCCCCTGCCTCTCCTCTTTGCCACCCTCCTCCCTCTGCACTGTGGCCTTAACAAAGAGCTCAGAGCTTTGGCCGTGGCCAGCAGTGCATTTGGACCGCCCCCCCTTCCCTCCCAAGCACATCATGAAGACCTCCCCATCAGCCCAGAGCTGGCCCCTTGTCCTGGGCCACTGAGACCCAGAAGTACCAAGGCTGGAGTCAGCTTGCAGCACAGCCAGGGTCGAGGTCACTCCCTCCCTGAGGACTCTAGCACGGCACAGCCCCTCTGCCTCTCTCCTGGTGGTGGCGTTGAAACAGCACCCTCTGCTTCGGTCCTCTACAGGATGGCAGAGAAGGAGGCAGTCAATAAGATGTCCCTGCACAACCTTGGCACGGTGTTTGGCCCCACGCTGCTCCGGCCCTCCGAGAAGGAGAGCAAGCTCCCTGCCAACCCCAGCCAGCCCATCACCATGACTGACAGCTGGTCCTTGGAGGTCATGTCCCAGGTATGGGAAGACAGGCTCCAGCCCATGCAACCCCAGCCTGACAGAGGTGGCCTCTGCCTGCCCCACCCCCAGTCCTGCCCATCTTCCGACTTGCATTGTATGTGGTGGTGGCTGAGATTCAGAGACAGGGACTTGCCTAGGTTTGCATGGATGGGAGTGATAGGGGGTGCCCAGGCCACCTCCTGGTCCTGCTGGTGCACCTTGCTGGGGGCTTAAAACCACCCCAAGTGTTCGAGTGTGGTGGCTCATGCCTGTAATCCCAGCACTTTGGGAGGCCGAGGCAGGACAACTGAACCCAGGTGTTTGAGACCAGTCTGGGCAATGTAGCAAACCCCATCTCCAGAAAAAATACAAAGAAAAATTAGGCAGGCATTGGGGCACATATCTGTAATCCTAGGTATCTGGGAGGCTGACACAGGAGGATTGCTTGAGCCCAGGAGTTAGAGGCTGCAGTGATCCATGATGGAGCCACTGTACTCCAGCCTGGGGGACAGAGCAAGGCCCTGTGCATCTCTAAAATAAATAACCACCCCCCACCCAACAAGTCATGCCTTGTCAGGACCCCACCCCACCCCCGTCTCACTGTAAGGGGTTCATGACACCAGCAGGGGTTTCTAGCACCTGAGGTGGACTTGGGAGCTTGGGCCCCAAAGACCTCCCACCAGCAGCTGTGAGCCCCCCTCTGAGCCACTCTCCTCTTCCCCACTCCGCGAGGGCAGGTCGAGGTGCTGCTGTACTTCTTGCGGCTGGAGGCCATCCCTGCCCTGGACAGCAAGGGACAGAGCATCCTGTTCTCCACCGATGTCTAAAGGTCCCAGTCCATCTCCTGGAGGCGGACAGACGGCCTGGAAACCTCTGGCTAATCAGGCCATCTGTAGAGTGGGAATCAAGATTTTCTGAGGCATCCTTGGGCCACCCCCAGGTGTCAGGCCATCTGCCAAGAGACAGCGGCCCAAAGCAGAAGGACAGGTGGCCTGGGCAGATCCCGCCCAGGTCTGAAAGCCCCAGGCTGGCCTCAGACTGTGGGTTTTTTATGTGGCCACCCGAGGGCGCCCCAAACCAGTTCATCTCAGAGTCCAGGCCTGGCCCTGGGAGACAGGGTGAAAGCAGTGGTTTTTATGAACTTAACTTATAGAGTCTAAAAGATTTCTACTGAATCACTTGTCAAGAAGCGCCCTCTCTGGGGAGAAGGGAACGTGACTGGATTCCCTCACTGTTGTATCTTGAATAAACGCTGCTGCTTCATCCTGTGGGGGCCGTGGCCCTGTCCCTGTGTGGGTGGGGCCTCTTCCATTTCCCTGACTTAGAAACCACAGTCCACCTAGAACAGGGTTTGAGAGGCTTAGTCAGCACTGGGTAGCGTTTTGACTCCATTCTTGGCTTTCTTCTTTTTCTTCCCAGAAGGATTTTTGTGCAGAAATGGTTCTTTTGTTGCCGTGTTAGTCCTCCTTGGAAGGCAGCTCAGAAGGCCCGTGAAATGTCGGGGGACAGGACCCCCAGGGAGGGAACCCCAGGCTACGCACCTTAGGGTTCGTTCTCCAGGGAGAGCGACCTCGTCCCCCGATCCTGACCGCCCTTCCGGCCCACGCTCTCCTGTTTGGCTTCCACAGGCCTGGACTTCTCTGGCTTCTCTGCCCACACACTCCCTGCCCCCAGTGTCCCTGCCCCTGCCCCAGCACAGGTGACTTCATTTCTGTCCTCTCAGCTCAGTGGACTCGCTCAACTTTTGTATAAGTCTCCACTTGGTGGTAGCAGCTTGCTGATGACTTGTTTTAAAACTTTCATCCTAAATAACCTTTTGATACTTGAATATTTGTAAGTTTTATACATAGTTTCTAATTTTTTCCCCAACAGATCCAGATACCTAATAAGATGCTGGAATGTAATCCTGGACAATCCGTGTCCTGGCAGCATTTGGTCTTCCTCTAAGCGCCTGGCTCCGCTGTTCTCAGGAGTGGGTTCTGAAGTCTCTGGAGAACAGGATACGTGGAGGGTTAGGAAGGGGCCAGGCCTAGAGACGGGAGACTCCCTCCCGGAGCAGGTGGAGGCACAGGACCATTCGCTACCCCATCTGCCGGCACCTGCGGGGGAGCCCAGGCATTGTTTGTAAGCCCTCCTGACCACCTGGCTCAAAGAAAACAGAAGCATGGAGGCCGCCAAGTATTTTCAAGAAATAACCCCATGAACATGGCATCACTTTTTTAGAAAGAGGGGCTTGGGACAGGCAGAGGAGAGAAGGGAGAGCAAACTGAGAGCCAAGTTTCCAGACAGTCCTGCAGGAGGAGAGGATGCAGCTGCGCAGAGGGAAGCAGGATCACATTTAAGGAAGTGTGTGGGGTCCCTGGATGACACCAGCACCCAGTGCGGCTCTGTCTGGCAACCGCTCCCAAGGTGGCAGGAGTGGGTGTCCCCTGTGTGTCAGTGGGCAGCTCCTGCTGAGCCCGCAGCTCACTGGGGAGCCTGACAGCGGGGCCATGTGCCTGACACTCCTCTCTGCTTGTGGACCTGGCAAGGCAGGGAGCAGAAAACAGAGCCACTTGAAGGCTTTCTGTCTGCGTCTGTGTGCAGTGTGGATTTAGTTGTGCTTTTTTCTTGCTGGGAGAGCACAGCCACCATTTACAAGCAGTGTCACCCTCGTGGGTGGCGAGGACAGAACAGGAGCCTCTGCTCTCTGTACCTATCTGGGCCCGGTGGGCTCCCTTGTCCTGGCTTCCATCTCTGTCTCAGTGACCATTCAGCCCTGCGCAGGAACACATGTTGCTTAGAAAAGCCAAATCCAGCCTTGTCTCTGCCTCCTCTGGTCTCATGATGTGCATCTGTTACCTTGAAACTGGAAACCAGTCTATCAATGTCTGTGCCAATTTTTTATTCCCTCCCCAACCTCCTTCCCCATACGACTTTTTATTTATGTAGGATGTGTGCTGTCTAATGATGGGATGACCACACTTTTCCATGTTCTAAAAGTGCTCCTCTCCCGCAGGGTCCCAGGGCTGGTGGTTGCTTTGGGTCTACAGCTACGTCTTACCCGCCTCCTGCCTCAACAGCCTGTGTGGTGGCAAAGCCGGTGTGGGGCTGGGGAACACAGCATTCTCCAGGAGGGGGACCCGGCTCTCCTTCTGCAATGCAGGCGAAGGCCTAGATGCCAGTGTGACCTCCCACAAGGCGTGGCTTCCAGACTCCCCGGCCGGAAGTGATGCTTTTTTGCCGTGGGCCCTGGGTTTGAAGCAGCCTGGCTTTCTCTTGGTAAGTGGCTGGTGTCTTAGCAGCTGCAATCTGAGCTCAGCCACCTACACACCACCGTGGCCGACACTTTCATTAAGAAGTTTCCTGAGACGACTTGCGTGCATGTTGACTTCATGATCAGCGCCGCTGGGAAGAACCCCTGAGCCGGTGGGGTGGGGCTGGAAGCAGCAGGTGCAGTGATGGGGCTGGGTGCCCAGGAGGCCTCAGTGCTCAATCAGGCCAAGGTGGCCAAGCCCAGGCTGCAGGGAAGGCCGGCCTGGGGGGTGTGGGTGAGCACAGGCAGGCACCAGCTGGGCAGTGTTAGGATGCTGGAGCAGCATCCGTAACTCCACTGAGTGGGGTAGTCTGGTTGGGGCAGGGACCGCTGTTGCTTTGGCAGAGAGAGATGATCCCCACTGGGGAGAGGCTGTTCTGACTCTGCAGGTGGGACAGGGACAGATGGCCACCAGGGTGACCCGGCTGGTCTTCCTTTGCTATGCTAAGCCCTGGGACATGGAGGATTCCTGCCACACAGCCTGGGCCCGGGTTCTTACCTGTGGCCACCGCTCTGGCACGAGCCCCTCAGTCTTGGGTGGTTTTTGCCTGGTCCAGGATTTGGTGTTGCTGCTGAGTCCAGCCTTTCCACCACCTCCGCATGGGCTGTGGGTGTTGTCAGCTGCCTCCCGCCTTGGCTTCAGTAGCTCACCCAGCTTACAGGGGAGCTGCCCTGGGCTGGAGATGGGCACGCACCCTGGGTCCTACTTGAATGAATGCAGCTTGAGGAGACCCGGCCATATACACTGGGCCACCGGTTACCTTCGGCAATGCCCACATCAGCCGTCAGCCTGAGCCTCCCCAGGAGAGCAAGGCTCACACGACAAAGGCTGCCCGTGGCCAATGAGGTGGCTGAGCCCAGCCAGGACCTTTCTCGGACTCCCGGGATGTGGCTCTGCTCGTGAGCTGCCTGGTCAGCTCTCTCGGGGTGAGAGGGGCTTGTCACACGGGCCCCTGCCTGCAGTGTGACCCTTCTCAGCTTCTCTCAGCAGCCCTGCCTGCGGAGTGTCACCGCCACCATGATCATTTCCCTGACACTGCGAGGGTGTGGGGACGTCCTGGGTAGAGACAGGGCCCGTGGCAGCAGCAGGCTCAGGGGCGCCCTGCGCTGGTGGGCTGGGGACCTGGTGGAGACCACGCCAAGGGCTGGACAAGGGGACGAGCCTCCACCCTGGCCTCTCCGCAGGCCTCAGCAGCCCCTCCCACAGGCAGAAGGGTTGACACTGGGTTCTGCCCTCACTGCAAGAGCTGCAAGTGCCATGTGCTGTTCTGCCCAATCTGGTGTCTGCAGGTGAGGGAAGGGCTGCCGCTGGCCCGTTTCTGAGTGTTCAGCACCTAAGGGTGACAGCACTGTCTGTCCCTACCCTCCAGGTCCTGTTTGAAAATCAAACCCATGCTCACAGGCCAATTTTTTTTTCTTTTAGAGACAGGGTCTCACTTTGTCACCCAAGCTGGAGTGCAGTGGTGCGATTATAGCTCAATGCAGCCTCCAATTCCCGGACTCAAGGGACCTTCCTGCCTCAGCCTGCCAAGTAGCTTGGACTATAGCTGTGTGTTTTATTATTATTTTGTAGACATGGGGTCTGGCTATGTTGTCCAGACTATTCTCAAAATTCCCGGCCTCGAGCAATCCTCCTGCCTCGGCCTCTCAAAGGTTGGGATTACAGGTGTGAGGCAAGGCACCCAGCTCAGCCACAGAGCCCTGTTGCATCTCTCTTACTAGGAGCAAGAGCTGACTGCCCCCTCATCCCCATTCCAGAGTGTTGGGGCTGTGTTGAGCCGAGGCCAGGCCACTGGCATGGGCCCAGGGAACGGGATCATTCACTGCTGCCCCAAATCTGAGATCATTCCACCTTGACAAGACTTCCTCATCCAATCCCTTTACTTGACAGCTGGGGAAACCAATGCGCACAGAGCACCCCCAGCTCACTCGGGGTCTCAGAGCTGATCCATGAGCAGAGGCTGAGATCCTGGGATCTTGTCCCCCAGCCTCCCTGCAAGCTTACTCCCTTTCTGCTGGAAGAGATGGGGCCGGACCTCGACCAGCAGCCCTGGCCTGGACATGACTGTGCTCATGCAGGTATTGAGGCCGAGATGCCCCAGCATCATATGTTTTTCTTTTTTTTTTTCTTTCTTTTTTGAGATTGGCTCACTGCAACCTCTGCCTCCCGCTTAAAGTGATTCTCCTGCCTCAGTCTTCCAAGTAGCTGGGCCTACAGGCTTGTACCACCACACCTGACTAATTTTTGTATTTTTACTAGAGACGGGGTTTCCCCATGTTGGCCAGGCTCGTTTCGAACTCCTGACATCAGGTGATCCACCTGCCTTGGCCTCCCAAAGTGCTAGGATTACAGGCATGAGCCATGGCGTCACTTAAATGTAGTGAGAGGCCGGGCTTGGCGGCTCATGCCTGTAATCCCAGTGCCTTGAGAGGACGAGGCTGTCAGATCACCTAAGGTCAGGAGTTCGAGACCAGCCTGGCCAATATGGTGAAACCGTGTCTCTATAAAACAATAGAAAAAAATATCCCTGCATGGTGGTGAGTACCTGTAGTCCCAGTTACTCAGGAGGCTGAGGCATGAGAATCGCTTAAACCTCAGAGACGGAGGCTGCAGTAAGCTGAGATGGCGCCACTGCACTCCAGCCTGGGTGACAGAGCAAGACTTTGTCTCTAAATAATTAAATAAATATGGCCGAGCATGGTGCCTTAGGCCTGTAATCCCAACACTTTGGGAGGCTGAAGCAGGTGGTTCATGAGGTCAGGAGCCCGAGACCAGCCTGGCCAAGATGGTGAAACACTGTCTCTACTAAAAATACAAAAATTAGCCAGCTGTGGTGGCAGGCACCTGTAATCCCAGCTACTTGGGACACTGAGGCAGGAGAATCGCTTGAAACTGGAAGTCAGAGGTTGCAGTGAGCCGAGATTGCACCACTGCACCCTAGCCTGGGTGATGGATCAAGACTCCATCTCAACTAAATAAATTAATAAATACAGAGCAAGATTCCATCTTAAATAAATAAATAAACATACACCTGTAATCCTAGCACTTCGGGAGGCTAAGACAGGTAGATCACCTGAGGTCAGGAGTTCGAGACCAGCCTGACCAATATGGCAAAACTCCATCTCTACTAAAAATACAAAAATTAGCCAGGCCTTTTGACGTGTGCCTGTAGTCCCAGCTACTTGGGAGGCTGAGACAGGAGAATTGCTTGAACCCAGGAGGTGGAGGTTGCAGTGAGCCGAGATCTCGGCTGCACTTCAGCCTGGGTGACAGAGTGAGACTCTGTCTCAAAAGGAATAAAAAAAATACAAAAAAAAAATGTAGTATGATTGCAGAGTTGTGCCGCGGAAGCGTGCTGGTCCTATCCATGTAGTGAAGGCTGATTTCATACAGAAATGTCACAATAACTTTTTTTTCTTTTTCTTTTTTTTTGAGACGGAGTCTCGCTCTGTCACCCAGGCTGGAGTGCAGTGGCGCGATCTCAGCTCACTGCAAGCTCTGCCTCCCGGGTTTATGCCCTTCTCCTGCCTCAGCCTCCTGAGTAGCTGGGACTACAGGCCTGTGCAGCAGATGCTGGGGGGCCACTAGGCCCAGGCAGTCTTGGGACTTGTGTCTCTCCTGCTGTGCATCCATACTGGGTGCTTTAGAAATGGCAGGCAGACCAGAAGCCCCTGTTGCAAGTGAGGACAAAGTGTGGGAAGGCCGTGAGGGTCTGCAGTACTAAATGGCCTTGTCCTCAACCTGCAGTGCACTCTTGATGCGCTGGAAAGCCGCCTCCTTCTCCTGGTCCAGGTCTTCAGCAGTGACCCGGTACCCCAGCTCTAAGGGAGGTGGCAGCATCAAAGGCTCCCCTCGCCTGCGTGGCAGCAGGGGAAACTTGCATCTACAGGGCCTAGAGGCCTGGGATCTGGGGGAGCCACCCCTGGGGTCGAGTGTCTGCCCTGGTGCTGTATCTGCCATCTTTTCACACTGGGTGTGACCCGAAGAGACAGCCTGAGGTCCGTCCTCACTCACTGTGTTTCAGGAACTGAGGGTCAGCTGGCAGTGGGATGAGGCTGGCCCCCTTCTCCGCTTTCGTTCCGGGAGGCCTCCCGTAGAGTGGTAGGGGCTCGAGATGGCATTTCGTTTGGGGCACGAGCTGGTCCGGGAGGTCTGGGATCTCTGGTTCTGACCTCTGGGCACCTGCTGCAGCTGTGGCTGAGGCCCAGAAATGTGAAGGGCCTCCATCCACTCCAGTAGTGACCCCAACGTGGGGTTCAATGTGGAGGGGGGAGGGGCTGCTGCGGCAGCTGCAGGAGCAGAAGTGCCACACCTTGTTCTTCTCATGCCCGCATCCATGCTTGCAGCTGGGAAGGGGGCAGGAATCAGCGAGGTGACCTGGGCTGAGTCCTGGGAATGGGAAGAGGTGGCAGGAAGGGGATCTGAGGAGGAGAACAGGGGGCCTGGTGGTCTGTGCTTCTTCCCAGACATGGGAGCTGTAGAGGGGACCCCTGCAGCAGATGCTAAGGGGGCCAGTAGGCCCAGGCAGTCTTGGGACTTGTGTGTCTCCTGCTGTACATCCATACTGGGTGCTTTAGAAATGGCAGGCAGACCAGAAGTCCCTGTTGCAAGTGAGGACAAAGTGTGGGAAGGCCGTGAGGGTCTGCAGTCCGAGATGGCCTTGTCCTCAACCTGCAGTGCACTGTTGATGCGCTGGAATGCCGCCTCCTTCTCCCGGTCCAGGTCTTCAACAGTGACCCGGTACCCCAGCTCTAAGGGAGGTGGCAGCATCAAAGGCTCCCCTCGCCTGCGTGGCAGCAGGGGAAACTTGTGTGTACTGGGCCTAGAGGCCTCGGATGTGGAGGAGTCATTCCTGAGGGCGAGTGTCTGCCCTGGTGCTATATCTGCTGCCTTTTCACACTGGGTGTGACCTGAAGAGACAGCCTGAGGCCTGTCCTCACTCACTGTCTTTGAGGAACTGAGGGTCAGCTGGCAGTGGGATGAGGCTGGCCCCCTCCTCCGCTTTAGCCCCGGCAAGCCTCCCATGGAGCTGTAGGAGCTGGAGATGGCATTTCGGTTGGTGCAGGAGCTCGTCCAGGAGATCTGGGATGTCTGGTTATATCTGATTTCTGACCTCTGGGCATGGAGGTCTGTCTGCAGAGGCCCGGGCCCGGGCACAAAGGGAGAGAGGCCTCTATTGTCCCGCAGGGGCCGAAATGCAGACGGTGCATCCCCGGTGACCTCGGGGACCCTTCTCTGATCACCAGGATTCTCTTGGACTCTAGGGTCCTTGTCCTGCTCAGGCATCCCTGCCCCGCTCTCCTTGAGGGCCCTCAACACTATCTTCCCTGGACACAAGTCTGGGGACAGCCGGGTGTTGTGGACCCCAAAGGGGTGACTCCCGGCTCCTGGGCCCCACAGAGAGTCCATGTTCTCAGTGCAGTGGCTGAGCTGGAGGACGCCCTGGAACTCGGAGCACACAGCACTGGCTTGCTGTGGTACCTGTGCAATCAAATTGAAGGCAGGATCCCAGGAAGGAAGGCAGGGCTTGCAGGATCACGGAAAACCTTCTTAGAGTTGTCTTGACACCACTGATGTCAAGTGTCCGGGTGCTTGTAGGATGGCCTGCCACTCAGTCCACGGGCAGGAGCAACGGGGAGATCCCACAGGCAAAGTGAACTGGGGGATGGGCTGAACGGGCTCCAGGCAACTGAGCCCTACTGGCAGGTCCTCGGCCTGGGCCCGAACAGGAAGGAGGGGCACAGAGTGCCCAGGTAACCGCTCCTGGGAGCAGTGGGGAACCGTCGGTTGCTTGAACTCTCGAGAGCTGGGCTCGGAGCGTCCTCGTCCAGCCGCCAACTCGGCCAACGGCTAAGCCAGCAGTTTCTTCTGTTGCCGGGCAACGCGCCTTTTAAACCTGAGGGAGCGGGCGCGTGAGCACATCACGGCGCCCGTGACAGAGCGAGCTTAACGGATTAATAAGCGCAGCCAGGTACCCGCGCGAGGCACTTGCTGGCAATGGCGGGAGGCGGACGTGGGGGGTCATGCAATAGGTACGGGAAGGAGAGAGGCGAGCACAAAGGTCGCGGGAGGAACAGGTGCCCACAATGGCGGCAGATCTGCCCGTGGATCACTGAAGATTCCTGCTCTCCTGCTGAGGTGGAGATTGCAGTGAGCTGAGATCGCACCATTGCACTCCAGCCTGGGCAACAAGTGCAAAACTCAGTCTCCAGATAAAGAAAAGAAAAAGAAAAAAAAGAGGCCGGGCGTGGTGGCTTATGCCTATAATCCTAGCACTTTGGGAGGTCGGGGCGGACGGATCACGAGATCAGGTGTTGGAGACCAGCCTGGCCAACAGAGTGAAACCCCGTCTCTAGTAAAAATACAAATTTAGTCAGACATGGTGGTACGCGCCTGTAGTCCCAGCTACTCCGGCGGCTGAGACTGGAGAATCACTTGAACCCGGGGGCTGGGAAGGGATTGTGATGCGCCGAGATCGCGCCACTGCACTCCAGCCTGGGCAACAGAGCCAGACTCTTTTTCTTTTTTTTTTTGAGATGGAGTCTCCCTCTGTCGCCCAGGCTGGATTCCAGTGGCCTGATCTCGGCTCACCGCAAGCTCCGCCTACCGGGTTCACGCCATTCTCCTGCCTCAGCCTCGGGAGTAGCTCGGACTACAGGCGCCCGCCACCACATCCGGCTAATTTTTTGTATTTTTAGTAGAGACGGGGTTTGACCGTGTTAGCCAGGATGGTCTCGATCTCCTGACCTCGTGATCAGCCCGCCTCGGCCTCCCAAAGTGCTGGGATTAAAGGCGTCAGCCACCGCGCCGGGCCGAGACTCTGTCTTAAAAAAAAAAAGCCTGGGCTGTGGCACTTTGGGAGGCGGAGGCGGGCGGATCACGAGGTCAGGAGTTGGAGACCAGCCTGGCCAACATAGCGAAACCCGGTCTCTACTAAAACTACAAAAAATTAGCCGGGCGTGGTGGCGGGCGCCTGCAGTCCCAGCTACTCCGGAGGCTGAGGCAGGAGAATGGCGTGAACTCGGGAGGCGGAGCTTGCAGTCACCCGAGATCTCAGCACTGCACTCCAGCCTGGGTGACAGTGCGAACCTCCACCTCAAAAAAAAAAGAGAGAGAGAGAGAGAGAGAGAGAGACAGAGAGAAAAAGGTTTATTGATTTAATGTACTTTTATGCCTGTGTTCTTCAATTTGCTTAGGAAAGACCCACACTTGAGAGCTGGGACTGTGTCCCTGATTGTGGACATGAAATATGTGGTTTCTTGCCAAAACTAGACACTGAATAATTACGATTTAGTTGAGCTAGAAATCCATTTGGTTTCTTCCATATTTTTCCAAAATTTTCATCCTTTTTTTTTTTTTTTTGACATGGAGTTTCGCTCTTGTCCCCCAGGCTGGAGTGCAATGGCGCGATCTCAGCACCTGCTGGCAATGGCGGGAGGCTAGGGGACGCTGGCGGCATAGGTACTGGAAGGAGAGGCGCGCGCACAAAAGACTTGGGAAGACCTGGCGCGCACAATGGCTGCAGATCCGCCAGTGGATCACTGAAGATTCCTGCTCTCCTGCTGAGGCGGGGATTGCAGTGAGCTGAGATCACACCATTGCACTCCAACCTGGGCAACAAGAGCGAAACTTCGTCACACACACACACACACACACACACACACACACACACACACACACACGAAAGAAAGAAAGAAAAAATAGTGGCCAGGCGTGGAGGCTCACGCATCCCAGCACTTTGGGAGGTCGGGGCGGGCGGATCACGAGATCAGGAGTTGGAGACCAGCCTGGCCAACAGAGTGAAACCCCGTCTCTAGTAAAAATACAAATTTAATCAGACATGGTGGCACGCGCCTGTAGTCCCAGCTACTCCAGCGGCTGAGACAGGAGAATCACTTGAACCCGGGGGCGGGGAAGGGATTGTGATGTGCCGAGATCGCGCCACTGCACTCCAGTCTTGGCAACAGAGTCAGACTCTCTCTCTCTCTTTTTTTTTTTTTTTTTGAGATGGAGTCTCCCTCTGTCGCCCAGGCTGGATTCCAGTGGCCTGATCTCGGCTCACCGCAAGCTCCGCCTACCGGGTTCACGCCATTCTCCTGCCTCAGCCTCTGGAGTAGCTCGGACTACAGGCGCCCGCCACCACACCCGGCTAATTTTTTTTGTATTTTTAGTAGAGACGGGGTTTGACCGTGTTAGCCAGGATGGTCTCGATCTCCTGACCTCGTGATCAGCCCGCCTCGGCCTACCAAAGTGCCGGGATTTAAGGCGTGAGCCACAGCGCCCGGCCCCGAGAGTGAATATCTTTTAACAGTGTTTTTCCTGATCTTTTCCAACATCTTCACTGTGGTTCTGTCCTTTATTTTTTGGTTAAATCCAGAGGTTTACTTCTGCCTGTATCTTTCCAAACTATTAATCTGTTCACAATCACTCTCCCATTTAAACCCTTCAGCAGCCCCAGTACCTTCGTAATAAGGTCTCCTTAGCTTGGTATCCAGAACACTTCAATACTGGGCTTTGACCCCTGTTCTCCTTCCCCCACCTCTGTTTAGGTGCTTCACTGAGCTGCACTGAACAGCTCTTGGCCCCTTGAAATCTCTGCAGTCTCCTTGTCTCCCTCTGCTGGAATATTCTTCTCTCACTTCATCCGATCATTGCCTTCAAAACTCAGCTCATTTTCTTATTTCCTTGCCCTTTTCATGTCCCTTGTTTTCCTCCGATTAAATTAATGTTCCAAACTCAAAAGAAAAACAACTCAGCTCAGGCATCACCTTGCCTGGAAGGCTTCCCTAGTCCTCCTGCCTCCCGCAGACTTGTCTGGCACCCTGTGCATTTGGGATTTGGCACACTATGTCTCATCTGCGGCCTCCACTGGACGATGAGACCGTAAGTGTGTGGCTTGACGGAAAGTTGTTGACTCTGCTGGGGTGCTGGTACAGTGCTGGGCACGGCAGTGTTACAGAGGAAGTGAGCCACTTAGTTTCTGCCCTTAGGAGCTTTTCTTCTAGTTGCAGTTGACCCTGCCAGCTGTGAGACACCTCCCAGTAGTGCATACCAACTTTCAAAGTCTGTTTAATTGTATCTTAGTGTCTGATTCCAATTTTATTTCTTGAAGGAGGGGAGTGTCTCTAATGTCTTATTTTGGCACCCAGAGACCAGGTAGACATCATTTTTGTCCCAAATTGTGGAAGGAATGTACATTTGGCACAGATTACTTCCCTTTTTTCTCTTGTACACCTTTCACCTTTTTTGTTTTTGTCTTTTTTTTTTTTTGAGTTTGATGTGTTTGGACAGTAAGGGTTTACGAGATTAAGATTAAATTTCAACTTTGTCTATTGTGCATATAGCCTAAGGAAAACAAAAAGTTAAAGAGGAAAAATACATTGCCTCTAAAAAGAAGACTCATTATTCAACTTTTTTTATTTTTAATTGTTTTCAGAGACTGGGTCTCACCCTATCACCCAGGCTGGAGAGGTGATCACAGCTCACCGTAGCCTTGAACTCCTGGGTTCAAGGGTTCCTCTTGCCTTAGTCTTCTCACTAGCTGAGACTGCAGGCCCACGCCAGCACACCTGGCTAATTTTACAAAAATTGTTTTGGAGAGACGTGGTCTTGCCATCTTGCCTAGGCTGGTGTGGAACTCCTGGGTTCAAGCAAACCTCCCACCTTGGCCACCCTAAGTGTTGGGATTACAGGCGTGAGCCATTGTGCCCAGCCTAAACTTTTTTGTTTTTTTTTAATGCTGAGCTGTACACAGAAGAAAGTAAAGGTCTTGGTCAAGCCTAGGAAAGAAGTATGCAAAGAAACTGGTGGCAGGCTGGATGTGGGCATATTTCGGGGCTTTGGAAGGTGAGGAGGAGAGGATTGCTTGAGGCCGAGAGTTCGAGACCAGCCTGGGCAACATAACGAGAACCTGTCTGTACAGATAAACATTTTATAATTAGCCAGGTGTATGTACCCTAGAACTTAAAGTATAATAAAAAAAATAAAATAAAATTCGCCAAGTGTGGTGTTGCGCACCTGTAGTCTCAGCTACTTGAGAGGCTGAGGCAGGGGGATCTCCTGAGTCCAGGTGTTTGAGGCTGCAGTGAGCTAGGATCACACCACTGTTCTCCAGCCTGGGCTACAAAGCGAGACTCTGTCTCTAAAGAAAAACATACTGGTGGCATTGTCAAGATTTGTCAAGAAATAGCCATTATGCTGGGCCCAGTGGTGTGCACCTGTAGTGCCAGCTTTTCAGGAGGCTGAAGTGGAAGAATCTCTTGAGCCTAGGAGTTTGAGTTCAGTCTGGGGAGCATTGCAAGAGCCCAGTCTCAAAAATATTAGGTCAATAAGATTTATTTTAATTAAACAAGAAAAAGAAATATCTGCTAAAATTTAAAGCTCTTCTATTCTTCCTCTGTCTCTTCTAGTGTTCTTGGGGAAGATCCCGACTTAGCCATTTTCCAGTGGCACCTCTTCCACCATGAGTTCCTGAGGCAGTCCGATGGGGCTACTTTAGTCCAGAACAATCACAGTGAGAACTTTTCTCCCAATAAATGCCCCTTTTCTCTCCTTAATATATTCTCTTGCTTACAAAACACTGGTGTCTCCTTATCATGGTTTGGTTCTACCCCACTGGGCCCAAGAATTCTTGCCCAGGAGCAACTGAATTTTCTTCTTGCTTGCTTTTTAAAACTTTGGTGGGGTAGAGCCAATTTTAAATCTTCTGATCCATTTTTTCATTGCTTTTCTCGCCCTTCTGCATTTTCTGCAAATTCCGTTGAATCATTGCAGTTACTTAGGTTTGCTTCATCTCCCCCATTACAAACTACTTGCTGGAGTTTTCAACCCTAGTTCCCTCATTTTTATGATTTATGCTCATTTCTTTGTACACTTCGTCTTGCTCCATCTCCCAACTCATGGCCTCTGGCCCTGGATTATTGTTTTAGCCTTTTATTTTTTGTCTTCTTCTACCTCAACACTTATCTTCCTCTCCCAGTCTCCTGTACCCTATCACCAAGGTTGTCATTAACCTTTCATATTATTCCTCATTATCCATGTATTCGTTTGCAAATAAGCGTATATTAACAAAATCACAGGTTTATGGAGATACAATTCACATACCTTAAAATTCAGGCTTTTAAAGTGTACCTTTCATGTGGTTTTTGGTATATTCACAAAGTTATGCATTGATCACCACCATCTGATTCCATAACATGTTCAATACCTCAAAAAGAAGTCTGTACTCATTAGCAGCCATTTCACATTCACCACTCCCTCTGGCTCTGGGCAGTCACTGATCTTTGTGTCTCTACGGATTTGCCTAGTCTAGGTATTTTTATGTAAATGGAATCATACAACATGTGACCTTTTGTTTGGCTTTTTTCATTTAGCAAAATGTTATTAAGGTCTATTCCTGTTGTAGCATGTATTAGCACTTCATTTCTTATATGCTGAATGATATACTTTATTTGTCCATCAGTTGTTCATGCTTTATTTGTCCATCAGTTGATGAACATTTGCGTTTTTGCCACTTTGGGCTATTATGAATAATGCTACTGTGAACAAGTGTGTACAAGTTCCTCTGCAAATTTTTGTGTGGACATATCCTTTCAGTTCTCTCAGGTGTATATCTGGGAGTTGAATTGCTGGGTCATGTAGTAGCTACGTTAAACATTTTGAGAAACTGCTAAAATGTTCTCCAGAGCTGTACCATTTTACATTCTGTGTGTGAGGATTCCACGTTCTCCACTTCCTCACCAGTGTATGGATTTGGGGGTATACTTTTTAAAAAGTGGGATTAGGCTGGGCACAGTGGCTCACACCTGTAATCCCAACACTTTGGGAAGCTGAGGTGGGAGGATCACTTGAGCCTAGTAGTTTGAGACCAGCCTGGGCAACATAGGGAGACCCTGTCTCTACAAAAAATAATTTAAAATAAATTAGCTGGGCGTTGTGGCACACACCTGTAGTCCCAGCTACATGGGAGGCTGAGGTGGAAGGATTCCCTGAGCCCAGAAGGTTGAGGTTGCAGTGAGCCATGATGGCAGCACTATACTGTAGCCTGGGTGTCAGAGCACGACTCCGTTTCAGGGAAGAAAAAAAAAGTGGGATGATATTTTTGACACTTTTCTTCTTGTTTTCTTAATTTCATACTTCTGGAAATTCCATTAAATTAGCTGGTACCACTCTAACTCATTGTGTTTCATGGCTGCATAGTAATATTGCATAATATAAATATACCATTCATTCATCAAAGTTAGCAGATATTGACTGTTAGGTGCCAGGCACTGCTCTAAGCGTTGAAGAAAAACACACAAAAACTTTTGCATTCTTAGAGTTTATTTTCCAATGGAGGGGGTGGAGGGAGGTAAGAATTTAGGAAATAAATTAATTACGTATATAGCATAGGGTTTCACCAGTGAGTGCAGCTTGAATCGTTGGCGGCTTTCTTAGTAGTATAAATACAGTACTAAAGATGAAATTACTCTAAATGGTGTTACTTAAATTACTGTAATAGGTATTACTATTAGTCACTTTGCAGGTGAAAGTGGAAACACCATCGTAAAATGAAAAATAGGAAACAGCTGGTTAATATGGCTCTGGAATTTTTCTAGGACATAAACTGATGAGCTAGAAAAGTAAATGTGTCAGTCCTTGGTAGCAAAGTTTGTACGTTTATAAATTTTATCCAAATCCTCTTAATCTAGTGATTAATAGACACTCTTCACAAAAGGATGAGTGAGGTATATGTGTATGTGTTGAAAGGTTCCGAAGGATGCAACTGAGAGTACTTTTTTTGTGTCATGGATCCTTTTGGCAGTCTGGTGAAACCTATAGACCCCGTCTGAGCATAACGTTTTAAAATGCACACGTGGCCGGGTGTGGTGGCTTACACCTGTAATCCCAGCACTTTGGGAGGCCAAGGTGGGTGGATCACCTGAGGTCAGGAGTTTGAGACCAGCCTGGCCAATTAGCTGGGCGTGATGGTGCGTGCCTGTAATCCCAGCTCCTTGGAAGGCTGAGGCAGGAAAATGCCTTGAACCTGGAGGTTGCCATGAGCCGAGATTGCACCACTGCACTGCGGACTGGGCCACAGAGCAAGACTCTGTCTCAAAAAAAAAAAAAAAGAAAAGAAAAAAAAAGGCATACATAGGCCAGGTGTGGTGGCTCACTGCTGTAATCCTAGCACTTTGGGAGGCAGAAGCAGGGAGATCACTTGAGCTCAGTAGTTCAAGACCAGCTAGGCAACATAGTGAGATCCCATCTCTATCTACAGTTTGCTGCAGAGATCAAAGTAAAGTTCAGCGTAGGTGGTTGTTGTTGGGGAAGACACTCAGGAAGAGGACATGGGCTGAGTGTTCAGAAATGGTCAGGATTTGGATGGGGAGGGCATTCTACTCCCAGTTAAGTCCTGATAATGCAAAGGCCTCAGCAGGCCTTTTACAGATTGGAGAAATGACTGTCAGTGGTTTTAAGGACCAGTTTAGGTGGGATGATGCTGGACACAGAAAATTGGTTTGAATGATAATGAGTTTGGGATTTCGGCTTAAAGTAAGTCCCCAGAGCCCAGGCCACTGCTGCTGAGCCCCAGCCTGGGAACTGGAGGAAGCAGTCCCAGTTGCTGACCTCTTGTGGTCCCTGGCTTCGGGTGTGCAGTGCATCCTTAGTTATGACTCCTTGATTAATATTTTTAGCTTCTGGCTGGGCATAGTGGCTCATGCCACTGAGGCAGGAGGATCACTTGAGCTCAGGAGTTTGAGACCAGCCTGGGCAATATAACAAGACCTCATCTTACTAAAAATCAAAAGCATTACCTGGGCATGGTGGTACATACCTGTAGTCTCAGCTGCTTCAGAAGTTGAGGTGGGAAGAACTGGTTGAGCCCAGAAGGTTGAGGCTACAGTGAGCTGTAATTGCACTACTGCACTCTAGCCTGGGTGGCCCCCATCTCACACACACAAAAAAAGAGTGAGACCCGGTCTCAAAAAAAAAAAAAAAAAAAAGGGAGTTCCTCATTTGCCATGAGTGGACACCTGCTTCTTTACTGCTTCAAAGTGAACACAGCTATTCCTTGTAAAGGGTAGGTTTTACTGTAAGGAAATCTAGAACACCTGTGTGTGAATGCCCCCTGATTTTTCAAAGAAATGAGTGGTTGCATCAAAATCAAGCTTATATTTGTGGAAAATCACATGTTGCCAAATTCTCTCATCAAGAACCCTTTATTAACTGACTAATTGTGGGCCATGGTGGCAGGCACTTAACAAAGACCATGGCAGCAGACCTCCCTCAACTGGAACCCTCAGTTAAGCGGGATTTTGTTTTTATTTTGGAACTCCACCTTCAGAAGGGCAAAAATCACAAGATGTGGTAGCAAGGGTTTATTCTAGAAATTAGCTTCCAAGCAGTCGTCAGCCCAGTCTGTATGTCTTCCGCATCTATAATTATAGTAGCAGAAGAGAATGGTGAGCCTGGGGCACTGCAAGATCCTAAATCAAAGATTAAGGCATATTAACTCTACCCTCGCTGGAAAGTGGTCAGTTGTATTTTAAAAAGCTTTACAATAGACTTTCTAATAATGAGAGTTGAAGCAAAGTTTCCACCTAACCCTGTAATTAAATTCACCAGAAGACCCCATTTCCCATTATCCAGACGACCAAGGCTTTGCCGAACACCACCGTCCCTGCCCTCTAGGAGAGGTCATCCAAGGCCAGCAATGAAACAGTCAATCAATTTGCAAATAGACGGGAGGACACTGACAGGATGTGTTCACTGGGGGTAGGTGTCTACTCGGGGAGAGAGGCCAGGCAAGTCTGTCCTTGTTTTCAGTCTAGCAGGAGTGAAGGGGAGGCCAGAGTAACTCCTGAGTGGTCAATCTAGAAAGGCCTTTTGGAAGGGCTGGAATTTTAGGCATTTTTCTTAAGTAAGAGGAGAGTGACGTCCTGTTGGAATTGTGGGGTAGGGGATATTCTGGGCACTTCTAAAGGGGTGGAGAAACCTGAACGTCCTGGGATGGGAACCCTAAGGGTGTAGATTTGTAAAAATTGCTGCAGTCACTTGCCATGAGGACTGGGTATCTGGGCTAGAGACAGGTGGGCGACATCAGAAAGCTGTGAGTGGATACCCTGGAAGACCACTGAGAGGAGGAGCCAGGAATGGCACCAGACATTTCTGAAGGTGGGGGGCCCAGAGGTCGAAGCAAAGCGGGGCCTGTTTCTGTACCAAAGCAAGAGCTTCTGTATATCCATCAAAACATAATCAGGCCAGGCGTGGTGGCTCATGCCTGTAATTCCAGCACTTTGGGGGGCTGAGGCGGGTGGATCGCTTGAGGTCAAGAGTTCAAAACCAGCCTGACCAACATGGTGAAACCCCATCTCTACTAAAAACACAAAGAAGCCAGACGTGGTAGTGGGTGCCTGTAATCCTAGCTACTTGGGAGGCTGAGGCAGGAGAATCTCTTGAACCTGGGAGGCGGAGTTTGCGGTGAGCCGAGATTGCACCACTGCACTCCAGCCAGGGCAACAAAAGCAAACAAAACAAAACAAAAAAAACTCCATCTCAAAAAAATAAATAAATAAAACCATAATCAGAGCAAAGACATTCTAACAAAACTGTGAACTCGGAGAAATTAGTGATGCCTGCTTCCCGTCAACTTTCAGGTGTCCAGGCCTTCTCTTTATTAAAACAGAAAAAAAAATCTGATACCAGTTGTGTGTTCTTTCTTTGATGTAGTGCAGTTTGCCCAGGCTTGCCTTAAGTTGGTGCTATTTTTGTGTATTTAATTCTGTTTTCGCATGTGACCCATTGTCTGATGCTTCAGAATGCAGTCTGCTGCCTCCTTTTTGATAGCAACTCTGAGAACACCGTCTCTGCTCTCGGCAGGGCACTGGGTACACCTGTGGCATCGCTGGTGCCATGGCATGAGGCAGGCTTCCCACTTCACTTCTCAAGGACCCATTTTATTAACTCTCCTTCCCCCAGGAGCTCCGTATTTTGAAATCTTTTGTTTCCCAGACAATTAGGGAGTAATTAAACCTTTTTTCCCACATGATAACAAGTATGATCGTTCACACTTGATATAGTCCAGTTCTAAAGCAAAATTAGTCTAGTGGTCTGGGTTGCGGATGACCAAAGCACACATATGTTCGATCCATTAGGTTGCTTAGCCCTGTGGTTAGGGAAGGTGGGGTTATTGTTAGGTGATTTTGAAATCTCCAAGGTCATCAGTTTCCCAACCCCATGTGCTGCTTTGGATAACCTGGGTGGTGTTTGCCCACTACTGCTTTGCATTGGTGACCTTGATTGACCATGCTAGGTGGCACTTTTCAGCAGGGTGAGGAAAGGAGATGCAGAGTTGAGCAGCCGTCATTTCCTCCGGGTCCGATCACACCTACCCTATCCCAGCCAGATACAATCTATCCCTTTTTAAAAAGACTTTCAGAGAATGAAATTTTACAGTCTTTTTTGTATAATGCCCCCAAAAGGAAATCTTGATTTTCACTTAAGATTTGATTTGAAGTAAGTCATGATTTAGAACAGCAGATAAAATGCATTAGGGTAAAGTATTATGTAAATGTAAGGTGAAGAGATACTGGTTTCTACTTCAGGTGGTAGCTTATATTTGTTTGCTTTAATTAATTAATTCATTCATTCATTTTTGAGATGGAGTCTCGCTCTGTTACCCAGGCTGGAGTGCAGTGGCACAATCTTGGCTCACTGCAACCTCCGCCTCCCGGGTTTAAGTGATTCTCCTGCCTTAGCCTCCCAAGTAGCTGGGATTACAGGTGCCCTCCACCACGCCCGGCTAATTTTTGTATTTTTAGTAGAGATGGGGTTTCACCATGTTGGCCAGTCAGGCTGCTCTCCAACTCCTGACCTCAGGTGATCTGCTGCTCCAGACTCCCAAAGTGCTGGGATTACAGGCGTGAGCCACCGTGCCTGGCCTAATTTTTGAATTTTAATTTTTTGATGGAGGTAACGGTGACTATAATTCTGTTACAAGAATGTAGAAAGTCACGCCTGTAATCCCAGCACTTTGGGAGGCTGAGGTGGGCAGATCACAAGGTCAGGAGATTGAGACCATCCTGGCTAACACAGTGAAACCCCAAATATAAAAAAATTAGCTGGGCGTGGTGGCGGGTGCCTGTAGTCCCAGCTACTCGGGAGGCTGAGGCAGGAGAATGGTGTGAACCCGGGAGGCGGAGCTTGCAGTGAGCCAAGATTGCGCCACTGCACTCCAGCCTGGGCAAGAGAGTGAGACTCCGGCAAAAAAAAAAAAAAAGAATGTGGAAAGTAAAATGTGAAAGTTCCCCTCCTTGTCTATGCCCCTTATTGACTTTGATATAGATTCTTTATAGTTTGGTATATATTCTTCCAGACCCTTTTCTGTGTATATACTTACACAAATATATTTTTTCTGACATAAATGGAATCATGCAGAACATATTGTTCAACAACTTGATTTTAAAGGGATGATTTACTTCACTATTTTTTCAGGCTTAATTTTATGGCTATATCAGAACTGATTTGGTTATTTTATAGCTGGCTGAAGCTGTAATTTGTGAAATCATTGGGGAGTAGTGAGCCTCCTTCCATAACTACATAACAATAAATTTTGCTGTATCAGGAGAGCAAGTCATAATAAAAATATTACCCTTAAATTTTAATGTATTTAGTGAGAATAATTGACTTGTTTATTCTGCATATTTTCTTCAAAAAACACATAAATTCATCAAATTAAGCACGTTCGTATTTTATTGACTATTTTGCTATAATTTTGAAATTATGTTAAATTAAAATGAAGCCTGTTTGAAACCTGTTAAGATGACAACCATAAATACTTAGTTTTGTGTCTAATTCAGTTAAGTGTTCTTGTTTGTTCATGGACCAGAAAAAAAGTTTTCCTGTGTTTTCAATTCCCAAGTGACTCCTCCAGATAGAATGAACTGGACCCGAGTAGTCTTTAAGGTTGCTGGCTACGGGCTCAGCATTTAAGACTTTAACCCAAAGGAAGAGAACTTTTTTTCTCAAGCCCTGCAGCAACAGTTATTGCTGTAAAAAGATTATCATTTCAAAGTGTTGGGTTACTTCTCACGTTCATGGGAATGACTTTCTTTAAAACCTCTGGGAGCAAGAGCAGTTTCTTGGATGGCTCATCTTTAGACCTGATTTTGAAAATAGTTGCTCTTTTTTTTTTTTTTTTTTTTTTGTTCAGACATTTATTGAGCACTTCTTAAGGGCCAGGCATAGTGTGAGGCACTGGGATGTAACAGTGATTATGACAAAGTCCCTCAAGGAGCTCACAGTCTAATGGTAAACTACAGAGTAAACTGAGGCACAGAGTGGTAAATGACTTACCCAATGAGGTAGAAATAGCTAGGTATGTGAAAATGTGGGAGCAGAGCTGGAGAGAGGGCAAGGTACAACTTGTCCTAAGTAAAACCCCTTGGACTGACTCAACAGCAAGGCTGCATACACAAACATTACAAAATCTACTTGCAAAAACCTGAAAGGAGTTTCCAATTATCACCATGACTGAATTCATGTTTCACAATGAATTCAGCTATTTCCTGATGGCATTTCTATCCTTGCCCCCAAAGCCACTGGGCATGCCACCGATCTGCTGGGAGACAGCAATTAGGTAGACAGCTTAAAACCAAGAAGTATCTGACTCCAATTTTAGCACTGAAAACCATATTAAAATACTTTAATTAAATCCACAAACATAAATGTGTAGCACATTTATGATACTTCTACATGTAGAAGTTTGGAAAAAGTCTCTTCTAACCCTCATCCAGAGGATTCTAATAAGTTATAGATACCAAAGAGATTAGAGAATTTGTCTGTCATTTTCCATATATACATTATTTTGGCTGTACAAGAGTGAAAAGTGTCACTCAGACATATTTCGTAAGTAATCTCAACATTATACAGATATATACAAAGACATCACATTTAAATTCGTGTGTACATCTATGCAATGTACAACAGTAACTGCAAACATGAACCAGTGTAAGGCAATTTCTTTTGTGACATATGACATACTCCTTGAAGGGAAGGGTAGAGTCCACAAAGAACTGTCCTTTTCAGCCTGACTGTCTGTCTTCATGACACTCTGTGATGAAGCTACTTCAGGAGGCAAGATGTCTATTTCACTGACAAAAAGCAGTGAATAATTATAAAAGGAGTTGTTTTCAAATGTGGAAACCACAATTACTCAGTAATCTAAGTGGTGAACTCCTCAAAGACACTACTGGCCATGATGCCGCTACTGAGAACGAGAGCACTTCATGGATAATTTATTGCTCTGAGAATCAAATTTGATGCGTAATTCTCCACGAAGATATTCCCAAAAAACTCAGTGATACATAAATTCTCAAATGCCATCAGTTGCTTACTTCAAGCAATTCTTCACTTTGCTGAGGATTTTCTTCTTCCTCAGGGCCTTCTGGATGAGTGCTCTCAGATGAAGAGGTCCTGACACCTTCAGACCTTTTGTTACTGGTCTGACCCTGCTCCACTTCTCACAAATAGACATCGATAGGTCCGTTGGTGCTCCTTATGTGCACTGTGATAGAGTCTTCTCTGGGAGCTGGAACATCCAATCTGGTTTCTGCTGGAGCTTTAACTGCAATGACGATCTGTTCATGGAAGGCCTGAATGCTATGAATGTCTTGATAGGTCACATATGCTAGTCTTTCATTTTCTTTGTCATCTGTTAACTCAAACAGCTGCTGAGCACAATCCTTAATTAACTCATCCAAAGCATCTTCCATTGCTGATAAGTCAGAAAGTTCCTCCTGTAGCTTCTTTTGTTGGGGAACTGCTCCAAAATTGCTAAGATCAGATCCTATCCATCTAATATGGTTCTTGGATTTCTTTTCAACGAGGTCGATTCCATCTAAGACATCGGTGATGTCATACACTCTCCGCTTTCGGACTCCCAGTTTCGTTGCAACCTTGTTTAAGTCAAGAATACCCCCGGGAGCAGATTTCTCATGGACACATATTGTACATTATCTTCTAAATTAATCCTTATTTTTGATGGCAGCAGGCCCTCCACGTTGATGGGGTCTCCTCCGTCGGGTGCAGGAGGAGACTGGGTAATCTCCTCGCCGGCCGCTGCTGACTCATGCTGCCCGGCCGGGCGTCCTGCTCCTCTCGCACCCCACGAGCTCTCCCGCCCTCTCGCGCTCAGCTCGAGCACCGCCCCCCACGCGCCGATTTCCAAGGGCCCAGCACCTAAGGGGTCCGCGGCCTCCTCCGAGGCGTCGCCCGGCTAGGCCGTCCCTCCCGCCAGTAAACGCGGCACGGCCTCACGTGCCCGGGAGCTCCCGACGCAGACGGAAAAGGAGCAGGGAGACCCGCGGATCTCAAGTCGCCCGGCCCGCCATCTTCCCGCATGCGCAGTCAAAATAGTTGCTCTTTTGGAGAGATGGCTGTGGGATTCATGTGTCATAGGCATCCCTTCTTAAACATCAGTGTTTGACTTTCTATCCCTTGTCCTGAGACCTCTGAGGGTAGCCCCTGTTTTAGCAGAATCTACTTCTAATACTTTCCTAAGAAG
Organism: Homo sapiens; assembly: GCF_000001405.40. Lineage (NCBI taxonomy): Eukaryota > Metazoa > Chordata > Mammalia > Primates > Hominidae > Homo > Homo sapiens. The sequence continues at coordinate 27,711 of NT_187386.1, forward strand.
GCTTTCCCAAGAAGTTCATTCAACAAATAACCGAGTGCCTTCTACAAGCACTCATTGTTCTGTTATCTCCGGTGCCACAGAATTCACAGTTAAAATCATGACTAACATTTTAAGTCGTCACCTGATATGTATTTTTAATCTTTAATAAATAGAAGCATTAATTAAATACACTGTGACATTCGGGAACTCTTTTTTATTCCTAAGGTACATCTTTTTTCTTGCCATTACTTAACCTCTTTTCTTCCTGTTTTGTTCTCAGCTCTCCTTTACAGCCATGAGTTACTAGTGCCCGGTGCCACCACGAAGAGGGGGTATCTGTAGGAGTAAGATGATGAATAGCAGTGGTAAGGGGAGAGCGAGGAGAAGGGAGGGGGCTCTGAGGAGGCTAAAGGGCAAACTTTTATTCTTGAAAATACACAAATATCCCAAGTCCTGGGTGTGTGGAACGTCCTTATTACTGCTGGGGATGTTGCTTGTCTGTGGGAATTGGGAATTTCACACCTAGCTCTGAATTTCTAGGAAGCCCGAACAAAAGAGAAATAGAAATAGAGAAATCACATACTTCCCACCAGAGAGGAGACACCATCCATACCAGAGGAGACTCGTATGGGGGGTGGTGAGGATAAGGCCGATCCATCTTCCCCACCTCATACTCTGCCTCCTGCAGTGTGGCCTCCCTGAGGGCGCCCTGGCAAGGGAGGGTGTGGGACCCTCATCAGTATGGCTCTTACAAATTCCCAGAAGCTGCTGTAGCAGCTCAAAGAGGGGCAGGCTCTTCCAGGTCTGTTCCTTGCCAGATGCCCTCTCCCAGCCTGGGGTTAACCCTAAGCAGGCATTGATCTGCACTTTGCTCAGAGTCACTGGTGACCTCCCGGGTAGCCAAGAGCTTCCCCCTTCTCCGTGAGCCCTCTGAGACTGCAGGTCCCAGACGGTTGTAAATTCTGCCTGGTGGAAATTGCCAAGGCTCCAAAGCAGGCACCTGCTGCCCTCAGGAGCCTCTGTGCAGGGCCATTCTTCTCCCTGCAAGCAGCACTTCTCGGAGACCTTTCTGGTTTTCCTCTTCAGCTTTGTTTGGCAGTGGTTTGGTGTTGGTTTGGAGATGGTGGTGTGTTGGGAATTATGCTTCACATAGATGGACATGTTTGTTAGCGGGAGGAATGATGGTGCAGATATTCATTCCGGGCTTACCCCAAACTAGGTAACCCTTTATGACATTGTTTAGAGATGATTTGCTGAACAGTTTCATAATGCCTTCTGATGTTTCAGTACAAAAAATAGCTTGCTGAACAATGTTACAATCTGTCTTCTGATATTTCATTACAAAGAAGCAAGAGCACATTCTGAGCACCCTGCCCAGTGCTTTCACCTTGTCTCTGTTGGAGCAGGTGATTGGTTCCAGCTCTGCGTTTTGGCACCTCTGTGGCTGGGCATCCCTCTGAACTGTGCACTTCTAGAAGGGAGCAACAAGATAGAGAACTAATATGCCTCTAGGCCTGAGTTCATTTTGGAAAAATCTTTGTAGATTTCTTGCCCAATCCTCTTATTTTAAAGGTGAATTGTCCTAGAGGGAAGAAAAAGACCATGGTGACCTGGGTGGGTAAAGGGTGGAAGTAGTACTGGAAAACGCCCCTAACAGGAGATGAGAAAGAGACTCTGGTGCACGTCATCTTTGTTTTAATTAAAACGTTATGCAATACAAACATTCGCCTTCCCACTCTTCCCCCTACCACAGAGGAGCTGTAATTTCCCATATTTGGAATTTGGGGAGAGCTGGGCCTCATTTGAAGATAAGGCCAGATTCAGTCTCTGATTTGGGGGGAAGTAAGTAATTGAGAGAGCCTTGAGGACTGTGGTATTTATGGTGAATATATCAGAACTATGTGTGTCTCCTTGTCATCATTTATTCAACACCTCTGATGTCCTAGAGCTGGTGCTATGCCCATCAGTATCTGACTCTCGTTTTCTTCTGCATATTTTCCCTTTTGCAAATGTATAGGCATTCAGCTTTAATCAGGTAGGCTTTTTACTCTGTGATCTGCAACGGGGATGACTGAAGTCATGTGGAGGATTTTAAGTAACTAATCTCTTAAGACATTCAGAGCATAATCTTCCCTAGCCCGTGATCATCCTGCCTGCATCCGAGAGATTTGTGAGGCTCTGCAAAGGAGGCTGGATGTGGACTTTGGCATCCTTTGGAGAGACTGGGTGTCTTCCTTGCTGGTGACAGGTTTTTGTTTGCTTTTGGCATGGGAACAGGACCTGCTGTTCATTTACCATGTCAAGAGAGTTCAAGATGCCCCATGAATGTGACCAGTGTGTTACTAAATCTCCGTACTGGTACAGAGAACAATGGCAGGCCAAACACACATGAAGACCCTGTCTAGGCTCATTGATGTTTATGCAGTTTGTGTCCAGGGCTGGTTCTCAGGGAGAAAAATAGATAAGATCTGCAAAATAGATAAGAGAGGACTGCTGGTCAGTGGTGTTCCCTGACATTTTTCCCTGAATGATACCAGGTTAATCAAAAGATAAGGATCTAAAATATTTTTGTGCTCTGCTTATAATTTGAATGTGACTTCATATGTGTGTCATCTGTTGGACTAAATTGGATTGCAGTTGCTCTTCAAATTGTCATTCCTTTATTTTCTATTTCTACCTACCTCCTGATGTTAGCTCAGGTTCCTGCTACCAAGGTGTCTTGCAAAAAAATTTGGTGACTATTACTCTAAGTGAAGCCTTTGATACTTTCTCTTAATACAATGGTTAAACCTCTAACAACGTAGACTAATGAGGAAGATTAGTTTGAATTAGTAAAATGTCTGAATTACCAAATATTTTTCAAGAACTTCACTGTTATTACTTTTAAGTAAATACTGTAACTCAAACTAGGCTAATAGAATGCCTAATAAAGATCCTTAGGGGATCCTGCTTTAGGAGAGAAATAAGAATGATTTGCAATTAGTGCACCAATTGTTTATGTAAATGGAATTTCTGAAATACTAGACTGAGCTTGAAAACCGTTTGTTCCCTTAAGTATTTTAAATAGTCCCTACGGAACCCCTGTGCATGCTGGTAGTTGTTTATATGCTGTATAGAGACCTGTTTCATGAAGACATAACTCAACCTTATATCATCAGTATCAGAAATTCCAAGTTAGTGATGGCCAGGATCCTCACCTTCCAAGATTAGATTAGATCTCTCTGCCAAACGCTTCCATAGCACATGCAATTGTCTGTTGTAACACTAATCAATACATTTAACAAATATATGATGTATTCTGCTATATGCTTTGCCAGTGTGTGAAATGGAGGAGACATAACCCTCATCTTTGTGTAGTTTATAGGCTAGCAAAGAAGTCAGGCAGTAAACAAATAAATGCATTTATAATTAATTACAATCCTGAAGTTAGATTGTACTTTTGTAAGTAATGGTTTAATCAACTAGATTTTAAGTTCCATTAAGATAGGGGTTACTTCTGTGTTGTTTGTCATGGTGTCCCAAATCCTTCCTTAGCCTACTGCCTGGCATAGAGTAAATATTAAGTTGAGCTTTATTGCCATTTTGATAGGTCAGAAGCAGTCGAATGTCAATAATGTCACATAGTTCAACCTAATAGTTGCTCAGTCAATATGTATTGAATGTTGAATGCATGTTGTAATCAGTGATCCTATGGTAGGCTGCATTTCACACAGTTTTCTCTAGCCAAAGAAATGCTAGCTATGGTTTTGAAAAGGAATTCTAAAACTTCAAACAGCTAAAACTGGTGATATAGACTGTGGGACTGGAGATCTGTGAGACTGGAGTGCCTTTTGTCCAGTATATTTTCTATGCAGTTCTTGGTACATTTCCCAGCCTCAGGTGGGAGCATGTGTATTTGGGTCTGGAGTGCTTGTCAGTAGCCCAAAGAACCTGGGAAGAGTATGCTGGAAAGCTAAGATGGAAGGCAGGGATAGGAGCTGTTTGGCCTGAAGAAGAAAGTGGCAGGAAAGATATTGGCATAGCCAAAGAAGCCTTCCCTTTAAGTCCTAGTGTAGGGAGACTTACTTTTCCAGACCAGAGCTCATGAGATCATGCACTCATTCCACAGATTTGTGTGAGTCTGTGATGCGCTCAGTTATGGCTAGGCATGGGCGTTCCTTATTGTGAGCTTCCTTTTTGTGCCTGGAACTTCTGTCTGAAGGGTTGTGGGCTGGACTGTAGACCACTGGTCCTCAGAGGCAAGGGTTGAACTGAGGAGAAAGCCCCAGCTGGATCCTGCTGGGAGAAGCCCAGCACTCTGGCCTGGGGCCTGCTCCCTATCTGTGGAACTGGGAGTAGGGCCCAGGCTAGGGCTTAGATCAGAGCTTCCCAAACCTTCTGTGTTAAGAACGTTTTTGCATCTGTTTGGATTTCATGGCTGTTTTTCCATTTTCCGTGCACACATGTCCAATTGTACCACCCTATTATAATGCACACTCTTTTCTCACACCCACAGGATAATTTGTAGTTCCACAGCTATTTGTTGAGCATCCTCATCTGCCAGCACAGGATGGGGGTGGCAAGTGAGGGGAAACACAGATATGTGGTATTGGTCCCTGCCTGTGGTAGACGTGATTGGTTACCTACAGTGGCTCTTGTTTTCTCTTCCTGCTGGCAGGACCCAGTTGGGTTGGATGCCACACCTCTCCCACACGCCACTCAAGGAAAGGTGACCCTGCCTCCAGCTCTAGGGTATGTGCTGATTGAGCTGAGCCCATCCTGGAGGCCCGTAGTTTAGACATGGTTTTGGCCACTGAGGTATGAGAAGTCTGCTGGGAGATGCTGGGAAAGATGTTTTTCCTTGTAAAAGGAAATGCAGAAGGGACAGCTTCTTTCACTAGATTCTCGGACGTGAAGCAGCCATCTTGTTGCAATGAGGAAAGCAGGTTTGTTGAGGCCAGCAGACGGGAAGAGATGGGAAAAACCCTGAGGGCCAAGCCCCTGAAGACTGAACCGTCCAATCTCCATACATTTTGTCCTCACTGTTGAAGCCAGTTGAGTGGGAATTTTCTATTACTTATAGTCGAAGGCAACCTATATTAGACACTCCCTCAAAGGAGCATGAAATAGGATTTCTTCTTGTACCATTCAGATTATCATCAAAAAGCACATTATTCAGAGACAGAGCTTAGCTTTGTGGTAAGGCAGAAAGGAGAGGGGAAAGCAAGTTGGTAGGAAAGAGTTGAGTGAGGAGATTGTATTTTAAATGGGTCCTGAGGGAGGGTTAGGATTTGTGTGGGAGGAGCAGAAGGGCGTTCTGGGGAAAGGAATGGTGGCATGAGCAAACCTGTGAAGACAGGTATGGATGTGGCACTGCCGAAAAACAGGGAGATTATGTCCTGACTAATTCCATGGACAGATTCTAGAGCACCTCAAATTGTGAGTTTATATGGTGACACGTGACTTATGCAGCGGGAAAAGTATTGCAGGCTCATGAATGGGGGAGAAAGGAATGAAAGTGGGCCTTGGGAAGAAGGATAAGGATTAAGTAGCTGGGTACCAGGTTCTTTGGAAGGGGAAAAAAGTAAAAGGCCAGTGACAAGCTCAAGCTACTGAAATAACTCACATTTGAGTTGATAGCAGTGCGGGGAGGGAGTGAAGCTGTCAAAGGAAGATTGTAATAAATTAACTGGCAAAGAAGGGTAAGATGGATATCTAGGAGAGGAAGATGGAAGAGGAAGATTTTAGGAAGATGCTGTTTGCTTTTTGCCACTATGGCTTTGAGGTAATGAGGAAAGATCTAAGTAATGAGGCGTTGAATTCATTTGAAAATAGGGCTAGACTTTGGGAATGAGAGGCCAAGGGTTAAGAGGATGTGGTAGAGGCAACTCACTAGGCATGCACATACTCCAGATTTTCCAGCCTCCCTCACAGTTCAGTTGGGGCCATGTGACTAGTGTTAGTCAATGAAGTGGGAGAGGAAGGAACCAGGGAAGAGCCATGTATTCCTCCATTGATTCCTCCCATGCCACAGCAGCCTTGGGCTAGGGCCAGAAAGTGTGGCTGCCAAGACGGGGAGGGCTGTCCTTCCAGGACCAGACTTTGACGGTTGTTGCTCAGCTGGGAAATGCTGGTAGAAGCGAGATCTGAAGCTGTAATGGGTGGCAGTGCTGACAGCTATTTGTGTTGGGTCTGGGTGGTATGTGGTCTTCAGGGTACAGTTGTCCACCTTCTCCTGACTTGATTTGCTCAGGGGTCTGCATTCAATGGGCTGGAGCTTGCTGGCCGACTCATTCTACCTCTAGGACTCTCAGTGTTTCTGGGGGCAGGTTTACATCTTGGCTGTCCAGGGAAGGGGATCCTTGTTCATGAGCTGTGCTAGTGAGAAGGCTGCTCTCTCCACAGGCACCAGAATGCCAAGTGCCTTGCAGAGGAGAATGTTTGGGTGGCTGGTGTCCAGTGGTGACCAGGTGGAGCGTCTCAATTATCTGGCTAAACGTGGAGCTTCAGGAAGAAGTTCCAGATCTCCAGACTTGAATAAGAATAAGGTGCAAATCCCATCTTTCAAATCTTTCCCACTCTCAGAAGAGTCAAAATGTGCCTTTTCTGCAAGCAGTCCGGAGCTAGGCACTTTGCATACGCTTTGTTACAATGTTGCATCAATCTGGCCTGGCTGAATCACGGTGTTTTCCTAAGGGTAAAGGGCCCCGTGAGTGCTGGGAGGCCTTTGGCATCTGGTTTTCGTCAGGCAGCAGGTAAAAGTGCAGATGGCGGGTCTGATCGTGCTTTAAAAAAAGCAGAGTTAGAAACGTGGGAAAGGCATTTGAGAGGCACCTCTTAATCTGTGTGTGTGATCTCCCGTGCATCCTGTTTCTTCTCTAACCAAACACCTCAACTCCTAATACCCAGAGGAAAACCCTTCAGACTTGGGAGACAGCCGGCATTGCTGGCACTGGCCTCTCTGGAGCTTTTCTTGATAAGTTTGAAAATTTAAAGACAGTGGTGGCACTGTTTCTCTGTTGAATGGAGAGTTGACATTCTTATGTTTCCTTCCTCTTCTGCAAAACTGGGGTGTCATCAGATCAGTGTTTGCTGCTGCTGTTGCGTTCTTGGGTAGCCACTCTTTTTTTTTTTTTTTTTTTTTTTCAGAGGGAGTCTTGCTCTGTCGCCCAGGCTGGAGTGCAGTGGCCCAATCTCAGCTTATCGCAACCTCTGCCTCCCGGGTTCAAGCGATTCTCCTGCCTCGGCCTCCCGAGTAACTAGGATTACAGGCGTGTGCCATCACACCCGGCTAATTTTTGTATTTGTAGTAGAGACGGGGTTTCATCATGTTGGCCAGGCTGGTCTTGAACTCCTGACCTCAGGTGATCCTCCCGCCTTGGCCTCCCAAAGTGCTTGGATTACAGGCTTGAGCCACCGTGCCCAGTCAGCCACTCTTATTTTACACACTGCTTCTGGCTGATAGGCCTACAAGGTCTAAGCTTAATCCCAGGAAAAGTGCTACCCGAATGGTCTGTCAGTCAGCCTTTTGTTTGTTTGTCTCGTTCCGGTCATCCTTGCCTCTGTCCACCCAGACAACATTCAATCAACATTTGTTATGGAGCCAGCAGTATGATTTTGCAAGTTACTTTTCTAAACTCTCATTTCCTCATCTGTAAAATAATAGGAGATACTCATTAGGGTGATTCTAAGAGTTAAATGGAAACATCTGAGGAAAGCACTTAGCATCGGTCTGGCACATAGTAAGTGCTCAGTAAATGATGGTTGTCATTATTGTTGAGCAGAGCCAGGGGTTGCCACCCCGGTCAGCTGATTGGCTGTAGACATGGTGTGACCATATGGAGCTGGGATTTGGGCCACACTCAGCACATAGTTGTGATCCATAAATGCACAACCTTTGGACCCCATTGTCACCTCCCTTGGAATATCTTGGTGTTCTTGTTTCAGTCTGATAAGGCCATTGTAGCTGGGTTCTAGGTATCTCTGAGCATGGAGCACTCACGCCAGCCTCAGACATTGCTGTCAAGGGCATCAGCAGCAGTGAGGTGATTCCTCAGCCGGTCATTTGGGCATCGCTGCCTGGGTCTCTCCTGAGCTTCAGCTCATCTTTTTTGTCACCTGCCATACCTTTGCCTCTAAGTGTCCCCCAGTTTTTATTGCTGCCCTCTCCATCCGCACCAGTGCCTCTCTCTGCCAGTTCCACTGTTCTCTCGCCTGCTCTTTAGGATTTCCTTTGTTTTGCCTCCTTGCCTGGTGCTTTCAGCGAGCAGCGCTGACGTCATCTCAGGAACCGTGCTGCGTCTGAGAGAAGAACCTGCAGTAGCTGTTTAAGTGTGCGGTGCTGGCAGAGTACCTCCCTGAAGGTGTCCTGGGGAAAGTGAGTGATTGCTCACTGGGTGGTGAGCCAGGGGCAGGGTTTGGGGAGATATCTGCATTAGCAAGTTAGCATCACTTGAAACACAGGCATGTAACGGGCAAGGACGTGCTCTTCAGCTACCAGGCTGTCCTGGCTGGAGCCGGTGGCCACAGACCTGAGGGACCCCGGCTTTGTTCCCTTAGCTGGCTTTGTTCCCTTAAGCTGCCTTTGTTGTCTCAGTGTAGCTCTCTCTACCTCCTCTGTATTTCACCACTGACAACTCACTCGATTCTCCCTCTGGCAATCTTAGTTACCTGTGAATACTCTTTAACGCCATCTTCTGCCTTCTCAATGAATGAAGGAGATTCTCTCCTTGACTATTTGTGAGCCAAAACCTAACCTTCTCTTGGCTGATCAGTATTAATATATTGTGCTGAGAGGAAATTTTAGAGTAAAATTAGACATCAAAAAGAACTGGCACAATTAGTTTCCAAGCCGTTTAAGGTTCCTGGAAGTCTCCTGAATCCATCCTCTTTGTGGGGACCCACCCCAATTCTCCATCTTCCTCCTAAAAATAACGATAATGGCGTTTCACCAGAAGCCGGACAAAAGAATGCTCTGTCTGTTTCGCCTGTGGGAAGTGACAGGAACTGCTGAAACCTGTGTTCTGTGTCACAGAGCCAAGGGTTCACACAGTGCAGAAACAAATCACAGTGTGTCACGGAGACTTTTTCTGTCTCCGGCCCCACTCTGTATTTGAGCCCAAATGTGGAGGGAGATGCTGCAGTTGTGGGAAGGCACTTCCGTGACCCCTCATTATGGTAGAGGAAATGAGAGGCCTGAGGCCACAGCCAGGCTGGCCTTTTGCAAAATGGTCAAATCAGCAGCAATTTGGCCCTGGCTCCCACTTTGTGCCCCACCCACCAACTCCTGCTATCTCCCATCCCCACTCCCAGCGCAGTCGCGTCCATGGCTCCCAGGGCCCCACCAGGCTGCCCTCCCTGTCTGGCTGTGCTCAGCCGCTGTCCTGGTTCTCCCCAGCATTTCAGTACTTTCCTGAGTCCTCCTGCTGGTCCTTGACTTGGCTGGTTGGAAGGTTTGTGGATCATTAGAGCCACTTACTCACACTGAGGAAAGAAAACAGAAGTGGGTATTTGGGGAAGGCCTATGTGTTGCTTCCTCTGTGTGTTCACTCACATTTGCTGATTTCATCCCTACAGTTCCCCTGCCCGGGGAGTGTTATGCAGCCACCTGTACAAATGAAGCAGTTGAGACCCAGTAAGCTTGTGTGATTTCTCCAAGTCATAGCCAGCATGGGCCACTACTTTGAGCTCTAGATAAAGAAAAGGAACCTAGTGTTTTAAAGATTTGCTTCATTGTGGTATAATTTGCTTGCATACAACGGAACTCACCAGTTTAAAATATGTAATTCTTTGTTGACAAACATGAGCAGCCACATAACCACCACCTATCAAATATGGACCACTCCTCTGTCCCCAGAAAGTTCCCTTGTGCCTCCTTGCTACCAGCCTCTCTCCTGCCTCCAGGACCCCAGCCTCAGGGGACCTGAATCCTGCCACTACAGTTTTGCACTGTACAGAATGTGATGCACATGGCATCCTACAGTGTGTAGCCCTTTGAATCTGGCTTCTCTCGCTCAGCACAGTGCTTTTGAGATCCCTCCATGTTCTTGTGTGTATCTAGTTCACACCTTTTTATTGCTGAGTAGGGTTCCGTTTTATGGATATAGCACATTTTGTCCATCTCTTCACAAACTGATGGGCATTTGGGTTGTTTCCAGTTTGGGGCTACTATGAATACAGCTATTAGGATGTGTACAAGTCTTTGTGTGGACACAGGTTTTATTTCTCTTGAGTAAATACTTAGGAGTGGGATTGCTGGGTCATTTGATAACTTTGAAAGAAACTACCAGACTGTTTTCCAAAGTGGCTGCACCATCCTACCTCCCCACCAGCCATGTATGAAGGGGACCGGGTACTTTTGATGCCTAATCTAGGTTCTTTTCCCTATACCATAGTGTCACTGGCTGCTGAGGTGCGAATTGCTGACTATCACATTCACATGCCCTGAGCCTGTCCTTTTCACAGGAATTTCTTGGAAAGTCTGACCATTTGGAGCCAGTTGCTGGTGGGGAGGTTTCCTGAGGAGGTCCTTTCATCACACAGGGCCGTCTCCTCTGATGGCTGATCACCACACACACCCTCCTTTGCTGCCCATCCTCTCTGCCGTCACCTTGGTTCATAATTAAGATTCACCTGTGGGTGACGTGGGACCCACTTGCAGCCCATGGACACTGGAACAGTCCATTCTGTGCAGTTCACTTCCTGGCTTTCACGGCACCTACTATGCTGGCTCCTGGCCAGAGATGGAGTTAGAGGTGTCCTGTCCCAAATGAACCTGCATGCAGAAGCCACTGGGGCAGTGGGGACACTGCCTCAGCATCATCACAGCTGCCAGAGGCTGAATTGCTGCTGTGCAGGGCTGTGTGGAACTGCTGCTGTTATATGCGCATCTCCGGTCTGGAGCTTGCTGCTCAGGGCTCTCCTTAACAAGCGGCCAAATGACTGCAGTTTTCTGCATTGCTTTCCTGTGAGGTCCCTGATGTTTTGAAAGAGCCAAAACCAGACAGGGATGCTATCAGGTTGCAGTTCTGCTCTGTTGTGGTGTTTCTGTGAAATGGAGAGGAGGATTTTGAGGAATGTGTAGTTGGGTTTACTTTTGTCTTTATTTGTGGGCATGTTTCCTGAGTGAGGACCACTGATAATTAGGTGTTCTTTGGTGTAGGGGCCCAGATGGACAGCGTGGACCCCTTTCTAAGGGATTGTTGTCACAGTGAGAGGGCTGAGCACTGAAGTTTATCTTGCAGCATGCGTGCTGGGAGCAGCCCCTCCAAATTGGTGCACGTGTTTGGGGAGGGCAGAGACCAGGGCACAGACTGGCTGGCAAACTCGCCTGCTGGGCTGAAGAGTCCTGACCTTGCAACTGGAAGCTCTGCTTTCCTGCCCTTTCCCTGATTCCTGCTAATTTTATGACCTTTCATCAGTCACCTGACCTTTCTGGACTTCAGCGTCCTCACTGTATAATAGAAAGAATGATCCCTCTTTCACAGGGATTGGAGGATCTGCCGCGTGTCAAAGCCCTTTCTACACCTGTGACAACACAAGACGTGCCCGTAGACACCTTTCTGAGCATGGGTGTGGCAGAAGGCCAAGCTCATACCCAGAAAGCCACCTGCCCTTCTGCTCCTTATCCTTGTCAGTCGCTGTGCCTGCATCCCCAGGAGGACCTCACGGGACTGGGAGGGCCTGGGACAGGCTGGCCTCAGATCACCAGGCATTGAGACCTCCTGCTAGCCTCAGGCTGACAGTAATAAATGTACAAAAGAGGACAGAGCTGCTGAGGAGCGGCTGGGAGTCCAGACACAAAGGACTGTCGGAGGAGTGAGTCAGGGCCTCTGAAGGTCACTTGAGGAGTGTCCGCCCTGAATCATTGACCTGCGGCATGAATGGAGAAGTAGCTGGGATACCAGCCCTGGGGCAGTTCCATTGGGTGGATCTTTAGAAGAGAGAGGTGGCGTGGGAGGGGTAAGAGCACTGATTTGGGAATCAGAGACCTGGGTTCTTTAAGTCAATTTATCCAGGACTAGCTGTGTGGCCTTGGGCAGGTTGACAGCAGTTTCCTTTCTGTGAAATGATCAACTCCAGAACTATTGATACCTGTCACATTGTGTTTGGGGAATGAGGCTCAACAGCCGAGCCTGCACCATGACCCCGGTGCCTCTCCCCCATCCCCCTGCGCCTTTTGGACCAAGAAGTGCAGGCACAGATAGAGCTTTCAAGCCTCTTTTGTTCCTGGATGGTGGATCCCTGTGGTTAATGAATAATTGCTTTAGGGGCAGAGGTGAGGGGAGTGAGTATTGCAAGTGAAGATGGGTGGGACAGGGAGGTTCCAGGTGGTGAAATATTTTCAGGCAACAATCTGCAGAGAAACTTGACCATGACTCAGCTAAGCAGTGGGCTCACTGGCAGGTGGCCCTGGTGGCCCCCTGCTGACATCTGCTACTACTGTGTGCTTCCAAGGCCCAGCGAGCAGCACCGGTGATTGATGATACTACAGCGCATCCCAGGAGCTGGTATCCCAGGGCAGCGCTGCACCTGCTGGCAGCCAAACCCTTCGGGGCAGGACACCGGCCCACAGCCTCGGAGCGCCCAGTTCCAACCATCAATTTTAATTCTTGTGAGGCTTTTCTTTTTCACATTTGGTTACCCTGTTGAACCAATCTGCTTCTTCCCACCAGTATGACAGTTTTTAGCTCAGTTCCAGGCCAAATTTTGCACTGGCCCGAGTCCCACTGTTTGTTTCTTTCATGTGTATCTTTTACATCCTGGGAGCCCTGACCGACTCCCAGTGCCTGAGCCCCTTCCCCTAAGCATGAGGACTCCCGCCTCAGGTCTGCCCTGTTCCAGCTGCTGGAAGGCATCCAGAATTCTAATGTTATTCATCATAGTTGCAGTTTCACTACAAAGCATATGGTTTGACCTCTTATCCTTACTAAGTCATTTCAGACTTAGGGAAAAAATACCCACTTAAGGATAATTCTTTTACCAAAAAATTTTGTGGTTTTTTTTCTAATAAGAGGTAATTCATGCACATGTTAAAAATCAAAAATCAGATGTGAGGTGTGTGGGAAAAAAATGAAATGTTCTATATTTCAAAGTAAAACTTTGGGTGACAAAAACTTCAGTGATTTTTAATGGTGATTATAATATCAATAGTACTTTTGAAATCAGATGTTGGGCTGGGGCACAGTGGCTCATGCTTGTAATCCCAGCACTTTGGGAGGCTGAGGTGGGAGGATCACTGGAGCCCAGGAGTTCGAGACGCTGTCTCTCCAAACAAACAAACAGACAAACAGACAAACAAACAAACAAACTCAGGAGTTTGAAGCTGCAGTGAGCTATTATTATACCCCTGCACTCCAGCCTGGGCTACAGAATCAGACCCAGTCTCAAAAAAAAAAAAAAGAAAGAAATCTGATAACACTTTATTTGATGCTGCAGTGTTGTAAAGGATCATCAGACACACAAATTTGATAATTAAATAATGTTCCTAAGTCTTCTGATTGAAATAATAACACAATGCAAAATCTCTTTTCCTGGCTTCCCTTCCTGGTCTTCCTTTTGTCCTCTCTTCCTGCCAGCTCTGCTCTCTGCCCATTCTGAACGGCTGTCTGCTGCAGTGATCAGTGCTCTTCTTTGGATGTTCTTTGCTCCAGATGCTTTATGGCATTTCCTTCTTTTAATTTTCTTTCTTTCTTTCTTTTTCTTTCTTTCTTTCTTCTTTGTTTTCTTTCTTCTTCTTCTTCTTTTTTTTTTGAGACAGAGGCTTGCCCTGTTGCCCAGGCTAGAGTGCAGTGGCACGATCTTGGCTCACTGCAACCTCTGCCTCCTGGGTCCAAGCGATTCTCGTGCCTCAGCCTCCTCAATAGCTGGGATTACACACCACCATACCCAGCTAATTTTTGTATTTTTAGTAGAGGTGGGGTTTCCCCATGTTGACCAGCTGGTCTTTAATTCCTGACCTCAAGTGATCCTCTGCCATGGCCTTCCAAAGTGCTGGAATTACAGGCGTGAGCCACCACGCCCCGTTCTTCTTTTAATTTCTATTGTGAAAAATTTCAAATATGTACCAAAGTGGAGAGAGCAGAATAATTAACCCTCATACACTCATCACCTAGTTCCAACAATTATCAGCTCATGTCCAATCTTATCTGTACCGTCACTCCCGTACCCTCCCTGTAGAATTTTCAAGAAAATCCAAGGAACACCTGGTGTATTCCCACATGTTAATGAAAACTCTTGTTGATTAAGCTGCACTTATTAGTAATTTATTTTCCCATTTAAAATTAATTTTCAGAATACCAAGAAGGCACCATTTCATCCTTATATCTGATTGGTGAAAAGTGTAGTAGTCAAATAGTACCAAGGTTGACAAAGACATCAAAGAATAGAAACACTTAAACACTGATCTTGGCAATGTAAATTGGTGCACTGATGTTGCAGAGCAATTTGGGCAATGCCTAGTGTGGTTGAAGATAACCTTGGACGAAGATTTACAAGAATATTTATTGCAATGAAAAGTTGGAAACCACTTAAAAATTTATCAGTAGGAAAATGAATACATTGTGCTATAGATAATGATTATCCAGACAGTGGACCATGGTATAAAGCAGTTGAAAGGAATGCCCTGGAGTGACATATGTCAACAAGGATTACCCTCAAAAATGTTTTGTCAATTAAAACAGATGCAAAAGGGTGCATACAGTGTGATGCCATTTTAAACAGTTTTATAGCATCCAAAAACTCTGTATATTGTTTATGGCTACATACATAGGTAGTAAAAGCATAAAAATAAATGTGCAAGAGTGGTAAATACCAAATTCGGGATGTTGTCATTTCTGGGATGGGTGGAATAGTGGGGCTTGAAAGGGGGTGAAATAGGGATTGAAGCACAGCCTGTAATGCTTTCTTTCTTGAAAGGAAAAATAAAAAAACTAAACCAGGTGTGGCAAAATGTTAAGATTTGACAAGTCCTGGATGTGCACAGACATTTGTTATACATGTGTCTGTGTAAATGGTTCCTTATTCAGAAATGAAAAATCTGTAATTGTTCATCTTCTGATAAACTTGCAATGGCTGCTGTTGTCACATGATGTCATTTTCTTGACTGGAGCTAAGAAACTTGGCATTTTTTGTTATTTAATCCTGAGAAAATGCATATTTTCTTCTTTCTTCCTTCCTTTCTTTCTTTCTTTCTTTTTTTTTTTTGAGATGGAGTCACACTGTTGCTCAGGCTGGAGTGCCGTGGTGCCATCTCGGCTCATTGCAACCTCTGTCTCCTGGGTAAGGGTTCAATCGATTCTCCTGCCTCAGTCTCCTGAGTAGCTGGGATTACAGGTGCCTGCCACCAAGCCCAGCTAATTTTTGTGTTTTCAGTAGAGACGGGGTTTCACCATGTTGGCCAGATTGGTCTTGAACTCCTGACCTCAAGTGATTCGCCCAACTTGACCTCCCAAAGAAAGTGCATATTTTCTTTGTCATCTTATGATAGTAGATCATGGAGCTCCTTTAGCTTAATGGATTCCTAGAGGCCAGTGACTCCTGATATTTTCCAGACGCTTATAGCTAGAAAAAGCCAAGTAATGAAGCTCTGATGCTTTGACTTGCTTTGACTTAACAAGCTTAGGGAAGAAGCAATGACACTGTATTTTCTTTCTTTTTGAGAGAAGGTAAGAACAGCATGAAAGGAGAAGGCAGAGGAGGAGGATCCCTTCTTGCCTCTGTGTAGACCGATCCTAGATGCAGCTTCCTTCTGTCATCTGCAGGTGGTTGGGACCTGTCTCCACACCTGTGGTTTGCTCAGGAGTAGGGAGGACAGGCCTGAGAGGAAAAAGGACTTGAGCTGGGCTTTGCAAAGGCACAGTAGAATTTAGGTAGATAATGAGGAGTGGTTGAATAGATGTGTCACGGAATTAAGGGTCCATCTTTAGCAAGACACAAACCCTTTAAGACCTGGTCCTGCCTGTCCATCTTCACTTCTTAGTACCCATCTCTGTCCACCCTCCCCTTCCAGCCAGACCCAGTATTGGCCCTATTGGCGAGCTCACCTTTGTCCTCTGGCCTTGGCTTTGCACGTGCCCTGACTTCTCACATGGAAGGGAATGAGTGCCTGTGCCTCACCTGTCCCTGGGCTGCCTGCCAGGCTCCTGCATACTCCCAGACTCTGATTGCGGCAATCTCCCAAGGAATGCACCTCCTGATTTTCCAGGCTGACCACCCTTCTGTAGCACCTGGTACAGTTAGTTGCTTTGTTCTTAATTCTATGCTTGTCTTCCTACCTGTGACTTTTTTCCTGGGCAGTGGTGCAGCTGGAATGGTTCAGCATGCATGCAGACTTTTCACGTGACCCTGGGCAGATACTTAATCTTGGGGTGCCACACTCATCTGCAGGTGGGGATGGAATGGTACCCAACTCCTGTTGTAGTTGTGAGGGTTAAACATTGTAACACATATAAAGCAATTAGGGGAGGGCCTGGCAAGACTCTGCTGTAGGAGTTAGCTGGTCCTATTGCTGTTTTCCCCATTTCTTCCTTTTCTCTTTTTCTCTCTTCCTCTTCTTTTTTCTTTTCCATCTTGTTTTTAGCTCACCAACACAAGAGATGGAAAACGATGTAAGCATAGCCTTTAGGTGTGAATGACTCCTGGTCAACTTGGAGGAAATGGCAAAATCCAGTAAGACGTACCGGGGATGTTTGGAGGGAGTGGTGGGTGTCAGAGTGAGTAGGTGGAGTGGGGCCAGACTTTAGAAGCCTTGGATACCAAGACACGGAGTTTGGACTTGATGTGATTGGCAAAGTGGAATCTCCGGCCATTGTTTATCTGGTGAGAAACTGCTGTGGGAGACCTGTATGGCAGTAGTTTACTGAGTGGACTGGCAAGAGTAGGGAAAAGAGTGGCAGTAGGAGACTAACTTTAAAATATGCTGAAGACCTTTAATATTGAAGAGCAGCGTGGCTGGATTAGGCAGTTGACAAGTGGCACTGACACAGGAGAGACTAGAGAGAGAGGAGCAGGACTCCCTGGCTTGATGAAAGAACAAAAGGGAGGGAGCTACAATCTTTGGCTTTGAGATTTGTAGCTAGTTGGACTGCAGGAAACCACAAAAAGAGTGAGGGTAGCTGGAATAGCATATTTTTGTTTTATTTTTAAGATGTGTGGGATGGCCTAGGATTTGGCATCAAAGTTGGTGTGTTTATTGAGTATAGTTACTGTGGATGCCAGCAAGAAGGAGAGCGATCCGATATATTTACAGGCAGGACAAGAGCAGTCCACATCCGTAAGCAGGAAAACAGTGTGGCCAAGTATTGTTTTCGGACTTCTTTGGCTGCGTTAGCATGCTGGAGGGTTCTGTCCTTGACCTTTCTGAATTGACTATTGTGTTTGGTGAAAGTAGAGGTCACACTCATCTGAATCACCTAAAGTCATCTGTATGACTTTAAGGCAAGAAGGAACAGCAAGTGTGTAGGTTGGCAAGTAAGATAAAAAACAGTCCGGATGAGATAGACTGATGGCCTGGCCCTGTTGATGGAACAAGGGTGAATGCAAGGTTTTGAATCCAGCTGCAAAGTGTAGGAGGGGGAGGCTGTGGGAAGGATGGAGGGTTTTAGTTGGCAGGTGTCTGCCACGTGATGTGGCCTCTAAACAGCCATCTTGTCTGCACTGAAAGAAGGTGGTCTGCTTGCTTCATCCTTGTCCACAAGCTGGTCAGGCCACTTGTGGAGAATAGCATGCAGTTCTAGGCAGTACACTCTGAAGGACGGAAACAAACTGGAACCTGTTTGTAAGACACAGGGAAAGGAAATGAACCCATAGAACATGAGCTCCTTCAGGGTAAAGATTGCTCGTTTGCATCTCTCTGAAGCTTTAGTGCCTACCTACATCAGTGTCCAGGCCTAGTATGTGCTCACCTGTTGTCCATTGAATAAATAAGAGATTGGGGTTGTCCTGTATCCAGGACCCCTGAGCCCAATTTGAGTTCAAAGTAAAGAAGAACTTTCGAATAGTGCTTTCCCCTGGCTGCCATTAGTGGGAATGTGCATCTGCACGCAGGATGTCCACAGGCACAGGGGAGTCAAGCTTAGGTGGGTGGTTAGACCGGTGGGCCTCAAGATTCCATCACTCTCTCCATGCGCTGGACTCTTTGATGGGAGAGAGTAAGGGAGCGTGAGTAAAAGTCCGTGATCAGTGAGGGTGGCCAGGAGCAAGTCGATTTGTAAATGAATGTGCTGGCAAACTTCCTTACAAAGGCACTCCCCCAACAATTTTTTATAATTTCTAGATAAAATGCCCTGATTTGAAAGAAAGTCAAGTAGAATTTGAGTTAATAGCGTGAATTGCAGTCCCATCTGCTCAGCTCCATGGCCCGGTAGATCTGTGGAGCCATTTGTCACAATTTGTTTTAAAGCCAGGAAGAAAAACACTCCTGGACACTGCCCAACACTTCTCACGGAGATGCTGTCTTTGGAGTGTGGAAGGGGTGGGGTGGGTGGTGAGAAAGCTGGGTGGGACAGAAGGAGGGCCCTGTGCTTTGAGGCAAAAGACAGGGTTCCAGCCCCTCTTCACTGGCTTGCTCGTGACCTTGGGTGAGTCATGCAGCTTTTCAGGCCTCGCTCCTGGTGTAGAAGGGCTAGACAGATCACAGCTTCTCCAAGTCTGGGCCAGATGACTGTTCATTCTTTCCTCCATTCAACTAATATTTTTGAGCTCTGTTCAGGTGCCACACACCATTCTAGGAGCTGGGGATCCAGCAGTGCCAATACTTTTTCTAGTTTTAAGACTGGATGCTAAGAACATCATTGTCTACTTCATGCTATTGGAGAGCAGCAGTTCTTCCAGGCATAAGAACCTGGGAGAACCAGTTTGCATGAAAACTGTCCTGAGCTCGGGAAAGGCTGTCACCAGCCTTCCTCTTGACGTGCTTGAGGCCAAAAAGGGGAGATAGGGCCAACTCAGAGTGCATGAAAACCAAGCCGTGAAGAGTGGATAGCTGAAAAGATGCCTGTGAAAGCAACTTTGATCAGGGAAGGAATGGTGGACTCGGTATGGGGAATTCTTCTTGGGAAGGTGATTGTGGAGCGGCTCTCAGGAGACAAGAGGCTTTGTTTGATGACTGGCAAAGGCCTTTTGAGAGGGTGTGGTCGGGGTGATGGCTGGCACCTGTGAGGAAGACAGTTGTTCTGGCGAGTGGAGGTGTACTGGGAAAGGGTGTTCCAGGAGAATAACCAGTTGATTCATCCCACAAACATTTATTGGGCACCTACTGTCTGAAATGCAAGGGGACACACAAAGATGAGTTAAGGATTTGACTTAAGGCACAACACAACACAACACAACACAAGGCAGGAATGGTTGCCTGCATAAGGCACTGACTGAGGAAGGTTCCCTAGCAGAGATGACGGATGAGCTGGGCCTTAAAGTATGAGTGGGCATTGGCTGGGCGTGGGGTGGAGAAAAGGCCTTTCCAGATGAAGGGCTCTGAAATGCTTTATGAGTTTGCCTTGGCAGAGACCAGAGACCCCATAACCAGATGCTGTTCATTTGATTCTTGGAATCATGGGAATACTTCAGTGCCCCAAAAAGAAGATGCCGTTACAATGTTTGAAGATGACATTCTTTGTGCTTAAGCTGCCTTAAGCCTTTTCTTAAACAGCCTGGATGTGCAGCAAAAAAGAGTCCTTTCTGCCCCGTGTTGTAGGGCATTGGAAAGGATGACGTACTGGGAGGTGGCTGATGCAGCCTCCAGTGCAGAGGCCTGGAAAAGTGGATGATCTGTGGCTACAGGAGGGAGAGGTTAGGGTGGGTGAAGAAGCATTATGAATGAGCAGAATCTAGGAACACTCCATGGGTGAGGGTCATATTAAGAAATGAGAGAAGGGCACAGACTACTCTATGCCAGGAAGAGAACTGGGGAAGGCCAACTATAACAGGGATTGTTTTGGAGGAATGGATAGTGTAGACAGTCACAGTGAATTTGTTTAAACAAATATCTGGAATTGGTGACTCAAGGGCTTGGTCAAGCTCAGTGGCAAAAATCAGTGAGAATAGGAACATGAAGTAAGTTAGAGATGGGGCCTAGACGTTTGGGATTCTACTGTTTAGAAGCAGGTGTTGCAGTTATCCAGTGCTGCATAACAAATCATCCCAAATCATAGTGGCTTAAAGCAAAAATTAGTTTATTCTCTTTCATGAAGTCTGTATGTCAACATCAGGAAGGGCTGGGCTCGTGGTTCTGGCTCAGTCTTTCATGGGGTTGCAGTCAGATAGTGGCTGGGGCT
Source organism: Homo sapiens (assembly GCF_000001405.40). Classification (NCBI taxonomy): domain Eukaryota; kingdom Metazoa; phylum Chordata; class Mammalia; order Primates; family Hominidae; genus Homo; species Homo sapiens. Next base: position 47,939 of record NT_187386.1, read on the forward strand.
GGGACACTAGAGAGCTGGAGCAGTGGAGACTGGCATCTCATTCTCTTCACCTCGTCTCTCCTGTGGGCTAGCTTGGGCTTCCTTATAGTGTGGTGGGCTCAGAGCAGGCAGATGGCTTACACAGCAGCTCGGGCTCCAAGTGTGTGTCCCAGGATTGCTGGCAGAAGCTGCATTCCCTTTTTGTGACCTAGCCTTAAGGTCACAGAGTGTCACTTCTACCAGAGCTGTAGCCCACCTAGATTCAGAGAGAGGAAACACAGGTTCTGCCCTCTCGATGGAAGGAGTGTCAAAGTCATGGGTAAGCAGAGCAGGCATGGGAGATGTCATTGCAAGCCAACTTTGGGAAATACATTTTGTCTCCGGTGGGGAAATTGCATGAACAAATGAACTCCCTCATAGCAGAGAATGGAGAGTACCACCTGAGATTTGATGGGCAAACTGAGAACTGGGAGAGAAGCAAGAGAGGAGGCAGCGAGTGACTGAGGAGATGTGGGCAGGGAGAGAGGAGGAAAGCCAGGCGATGTTCTGGGCATGAAGCCAGGCTTGCTGTGGGTGCTCCAAGGCAGATGTGAACGAGTGAGGATGGGAAAGAAGTGGGGTTGGCCAGGACCATGGGAACACGTGGCTCTTGTTTTTCAGTTGTTCTCTCCACTAGCTGGAGCCTACCCTTTTTTCCTCTTAGATTTTTAAACAGCGTTTTATTAGGAGAAATTTAAAATTATCCTTGTCTTTTTTATACTGTCTCCTCATTTTGCTTTGTCGTGGCATGTGTTTTTACACATTTATTTTTGAATAGGTAATGCATTCACATGCGCTCAATTAAAAAGGATACCAAAGAATGTACACAGTGCAAATTAAGTCTGCTTCTGACCTAATTCTTCCAGAGACCATCGCCGTTACTGGTTTCATGTGTGTCTTTCAGAAAATATTCTCTACCGTTGTTGCCTCTTTGATGCCGACTGTACACACTAGCAGGGCTGATTTGCTCCTGCTTTGGTTTTAGCCTCGATGGCATAGAGGCCCTTCCATAGCATGAACAGCCCTCTCCAGACCCATCTACTCACCTTTGTGAGAGGGCAGAGCCTGCAGACTCAGGGCTGACCTCAGCCCTGGATTCTGTTCAAGCTTTTTCTGAACCTGTAATTTTAAGTGCTGCTTCTAATTCAAGTCAGACTTTTTCTATGTTGGCTTTTCGTTTTTGCTTTCTATGGTTTCTCAGTGTTCTTTCACCCCTAAGATCATGATTTTGAATTTTTATTTTTGGTTCTAAGGCGCAGAGAGTTTAGTAGACAAGAAGGAAGGGAGAAGACAGAAGGAAAAAGCTGCCCCGTACAGAGACAGAGGGAAGGGGGCTCCAAAGCCGAAAGAAGAGGTCCCCACGATTGTGAAATTTTTTGTTCTCTCACTTACATGCACCTTTCCCTGGCATAGGGGAATATATAGTTAGGGAAATGCAGGGGCTTTCAATACTGGTATCACAGAATTACACAGTCTTGGAGCTGAAAGGGGATTTTAAGGATTGTCTGGGTGTTTTTCTTCTTTAAAAAAAATTTTAAAATTTTGCTTATAGGGAATTCAGCCTTAGAGAAAAAGTTAAAAGATTATGTAAGGTCTCTTCTTCCACCCAACTCAAAAAACACCCCCAAACCAAAACCAACTCTGCTGGACTTTCTGGGATGGTTGATGACCTACTGAGATCTGATTTCCCAGAGCAGGAGGTGGGAAGTGCTTGATCCAGCAATGGGAGGGAATGCTTGAACCCAGGATATCCCAAATGGCTGGAATGTAGGACAGTGGTACCATGCCCAGGCTGGGACCAACTTCTTAGCTGGCCTTCAAAGGGACAGATGGCAGCTGAACTCTGCGTAATGCCCAAATACAGCTCACAGAACCCAAAGACTGTGTCTCTGCAGCGTGCAGCATTGGTCTATAGCATTTGAAGCTATTTTTTCTCTGTAAGTGTCCACAAAATTCGTCACTTTACAATGAGCTTGGCAGGATAGCTGCAGTGAAGAAACTCTCCACACAGGTCCCAGTGTCTCTTCTGGAATTTTGCCTGAGCAAGTAAATCAAATACTTGGTAAACACACTGATGTCACTGTCCCTAGCCATGGGGATTTAGAACTTTTTCAAAACCCCTTTCTCTCTGTGGCCCCACTTGTTTCTCGCTGCAGCCTTTTATTTTTCTGGAGTTGGCTGTGGTTCTCCCTCCATGCTCCAGGCCAGGTTCTGTGGGCTGGACAGGTATGGCGAGTTAATCCTGCCAGACGAGGTCAGCTCTGAGTTAATGAGTACAGCCTCTCTTTCTCCCCTCCAGAGCATGGATTTCTTTCTTAAGTTTGAGGAGACAAAAATATATGCCTGACAAAGGATTACCGGGAAGAATTAAACACGAGTCCTTCAGCATGCACGTATCCATTTGTTGCCTTCCGGGTTTGCTTTCTTCTCAGCCTGCGAGGCTCCTCATTCAGTATGCTGTGTTGTGTGGTTAGCTGTTCCATAGTCATACTGAAAGTGGCTTCTCAGATGCTGCTTGAGTCCTGGGGAATGTCACCATCCGATGACAGTCTAGCTGAGAGATGCTAGCACGCCCACCCCTTCTTCCCCCCACAGATCCATATCTCATCTAGCTGTACACAAAAGGCAACTGATAACTCCTGTTATCAGCACTAGGTGGGGTGGGAGGTTTTGGGGGATGGTCAGCATTTTTTGGTTTCGATGACCATGTAAGTATTTTAAATCTGCAGCTCTGGCAAACTGATAACCTCCACAACTATATCATCAGAGCCCTCATTAATGGAATCATTTTCTAATTTGAACACCTTGTTTGTCCTTCCTCTCATTTCTTAGTGAACCTGTCAGTCTTCCCCAGCCCTTCACTGGTTGAGTTGTGGAAGTTTGGAGTCTTTTGCTTTTCAGGAATAGGCTCTGCTCTCTGACCGTTTCTGTGTCTTGACCTTTGTGGCGAGTGGAGCTCATTTGGTAGTTATAGGGTCTACAGTTGATGGAGACATTGAGGAGGATTGAATGCCAGGTATTTTAAAGTGGCCTTGAATTAACTGTTTTTTGGCATCTTTCTCAAATGGATCCATGGGTTATCATGGCCTGTGGAGGCACCTCCCATCTGAATGCTTGCCATCCATCAGCTGAGTGACTGTTGACCTTTGCTCCATATGTCCTCCTGTGGGCTTGGCTGGGGAAGCTCACTTCTCAGAGGCACATGGCAGGATGGTCTAGAGAGTTGGTTGGGCCCAGGGAATAGATTCTCTGTCCAGTGATGACCTCATCAACTTCTCCCAAGCAGTTGCCTAAGACCTGCGAATTGTGGACAGCTCCCTGGATATCCCCACATTCTCTTGCCTGTTAACTACATCTCTTTACTATCTCTCTGGCCAGACCACCCCCTTTCACTCCCAGTGGAGGTCCAGTGATCTGATTTGGTTGGGGTCCTCAGCAGCTCTCACCTGGATCACCGCAGGAGCATGAAGGAATCTTCTGCCAGGGCCCCTTTCCCATCACTCCTGCCAGAACAATCTTCCCAAGGCAGGATTTGGAATATCTGTTTCCTTATTTACACCCCCAGTGGCTCTCCACTGCTCATAGTTCAAAGCCCATGCTCTTTAGTAGAGCACCCTATCCCTGCCCTGGCCTGGCCCCTGTCTGCTGCTTCCTCTTGGTCTTCCTCTACTTTCATGGACCCTACCACCCATCAATGTCAAACTGCTGCAGTACTCTGGACCTCCGGCTCCTCGTGCAGCTCTGCATAGATTCGAGCTGCTCTCTGCTGAGGTCCTATGTGATGTCCTCCCCACCCCACCACGATCTAGCAGAAATACCTACTCATCCTAATTAGAACTGGGCACAAGCAACCTCTCTTGTGTGAAGCCTTTCCTGACGCCTGTGGAACACCTAGCTCGGTGTCCTCAGTGCATCTTTCACAGTGCCACGCTTTGCCGCCTCTGTTTACTTATCTATCTCTGCCTCCTAGACTGTAAAGATTGGGTCTTGTAGCTCATCAGCCCAGTACAGTGTCCAGCAAAGAGGAGACACCATATATATTTGTGGAATGAATGAAACAGAAGCTTAGAGTCAGAGATTGTGGGTTTGGATGCCAACTCTGTATCCCACTGACAATTTCTCCGAGCCTCAGTTTGCTCATCTCATCAGCGAAATGGGGAATGTACACTTCCCTCACAGGGTGGCTGTGAGATTAAAGTAAGAAGACACCTTTGGAAATGCTAGTTCGCTGCAGATTTGGCTAGTGCCTGGAATTGAGCAGGTACTCAGTCCTTATTTCCTGTTTCAGGTGATAACCAGAGAGAAAGCCTCTACTTCAGGAGACCGCATCTCATTGTGCCTTTTGTCTTCTTCCAAAGAGGCTTCTCTGATTTTGCCCCTAATTAGGAGGGCGTGCCTGGAGAGCCCCTTAACAGCATCTGGGCAGGGCTTGCCACCAGGGGGCAGAGGCTTTTGAACCATCACTGCTTTGTCAGAGCCTGTAGCGAATGTTCAAAGCCCAAATCTTGTTCCAAATCCCATTCCCTCCAGGACCCTTGTCCTCAGTGGGGATTTAGAAATGGCCCCATGCTGTATGTCACGTCCTTGGCTCTGTGTAAGTCAGCGACAGCCTGCATGTTAATGCCTAAACTGCTTTCTCAAGATTCCTCCAACCATCTGTCATTCAGGTGCCTTCCTTGTACCCTGAAAGGATGATTTTCATCAGGGCTCACAGTATCTGTTAATGCCTCATGAAGGCATCCAGTTGGAAGAAGCAAGAGAAGAGATGCGTTAGAGGGCTCGGAAGGGATCAACATGGAATGGAAAGTTTAATAACTCAGAAAATAGGAGTTTTTAGGAAAGTGGCTAAACAGCTTTAAGAAAAAGTAAATGAGGTCAAACCTGTTCAACCAGGCCCTTGTGCATTAAGCAGCTCAAACAGAGGGCAACTGATTAACCATTTGACACTTCACACACCTGCAAAGTTGACCTGACCAGGCTGGCTCCAGCCAATTTTGCAATCATTTTCTCTCTCCACCCATTCCCTATTTCACCATCAGCCCCCCTCCCCCACTTCAGGCTCCTTGGCCACCTCCCTCCTCTCCACTTACACAACCTGAATTCATCTGTACCAAAATATTCACCCCTCTCTGACTTCTTTTTTTGGGTTTTATGAGGCAGGTGGTCTGAGAAATTGCTTATGACTGTTGGTCCTAATTATGAATCTAATTCATTCAGACTATAGAATACTTAGAAAACACAAAGTGCAAGGAAAAAACAATCCCTTATTACCCGACCTCCCTTTAGCGTTTTTTAAATATACTAGCCCAGTCCTTTTTCCACACATATATAGAGGTGTGTGGGTGTGTGTGGGTGTTTATCTTTACGAAAATACTTTCAAATCCTTTTATAGCCTTTCTCCCCTTTTACTTAGTAGTGTGCTTTCAGCATTTTTAGGTGTTCATAAATATTGTTCTCTGCAGTTTTTAAATGGTTGCATACTGTTTCACCACATGGGGAGAATGCTGTAACTGACTGATGGATTCTTTGTTTGGGGACCTTTTCCTGCTTTTGTGACCCACCCCACTATGGTATAGTGCTCATTCTTGTACCTTCTTTTGGAAGTCCCTGAACTCTCCAGCTTGGTCTTGTGTATCTGCGAGGGCCCTGTTTCCCAGTTCTCTTCTCTGGGCTGCTGAAGAATTAGTCTCTACCTCCACGGTTCTGTTTTTTGCATCTGTGATGCTGGCTTATCTGTGCCTCCCTGGAAAGAAAGAGCAGGGCCCACTGCCTACTGCCTGGTCATAGTTATGCTCAAGAACATGGTCCTTGAATTGAATAGGGAAAATGTCCAATCCAGGGCTACCCACCGATGACAGCCAAGCACAGGAGCCTGAGCCACCAGCAATGAAAGTCAAAGCTGAGGGAGAAGGAGCGGCCATCCATTGTTATCATTCGTAACAGGTGCTTGGGAAAACCCCCAGAAGCAGTGTCAGGGCTCTCACTATTTATTTTTAGTTGTGTGTAGATGTTCATGCTTTATGAGTGTGCTAGACATATTTCAGGGTGCCTGCCACCCACACTCTTGGTGGGGAACGGTTTGGGGCCCTTCACATTCCCTGTTGCCCAAAGTGGTTATATGCTGGGTAATGGAATACAGATGCCCATCTGGTCAAGTCCACCTAGATCTGAGTGTGTTGGGGAAATGCATATTGTAAATGACCCCAAAATCTACAACTTTGGGGGCCTGGTTAAAAAAAAAAAGGTCTCCCAGCCAGTCAGACTGCTTTCTGGGGAATTTGCACTGAGAACCACAGTGGTGAGTGCAGCAGCAACAGGCATGTGTAAGCTGAGTATTTGGAGCACAGAAACTATGGCTGAGTAAAGGAACTTTGTCCCTGAAGAGTGGCGGGAGCTGTCCTGAGGAGGGTGGTCTAAGTCACAAAGGTTTTCCAGTTCTGGTCCTTGCAAGGCATAGCTCTGCTGTGATCCTCACTCATGGGTTGCCCTGAAATCCCACAGTGTCTTTTTGTATCCTTTCTCCATCCTCCCCACTTCTCCCCACACACTAGAGCTAGTTGTTGGAGCTCTGCTTATTGCGATTATCCAGCTATCGTCCAAGAGGATGGCACATTGGCTAGTGCTTCCACTGCTGAGAGGGTCACAGCAGTGCCTTGGGCAGAGTCAGGAGAAGAGGAATATTCCTGTTTTGTACCGGAGTGCTTTCCAGGGTGAAGAGCTGAAGGAGCTGCTCTGAGTAGGACACGGCTCTGAGGTTCCTTTGGAGACCCCAATTCACAGCCTGGGCATTCGTAGCTAGGCAGCCCCATTTTCTAGTTTTGTGTCTCCATGGCCTAGTGTTGGGAGACAGAAGGTGGGGACACTGTGTTGAAGGACACAGCAGACTGACTTATCATGGGCTTCCTGAAGCCAGGGCCACCCCTTTGTATCCAGGTCTAGTTCTGATGCCACTTGAAAAAGCCCCCCAAGTGCTTTTGCTGTTGGTGCCCCGCATCTCTCTGCTGCCTGGTAGCTGACATTCTGACCCTGCCTGCAGATGCGCTCCCGGCATGTTGTCAGCAGGGCCCTGGGCTTAGCAGTCCTCTTCCTGAAGCTGTGAGAGCATTGAGGGGTGCACAGCTGGGGCCCTGCCAGCTCCAGGAGGAGGTGCAGGCAGTGCTGAGTGTGGCGGGAGCTGTGGAAGAGTTATTCCAGTCCTCTTTAGGAGAGGGTGGTGGTGGCGGCCAGTAGAGGGACTGTTTGAAATCCAGCAGACACCTTTCTCCCAGACTGAAAACCTGGGGACCAGACTGAGAGTCTGGAGAAACTGAGGTATCCTAGGTCCAGAAATGAAGCGTAAAATAATAGCAACAGTAATTGCTGTGAAATGTATGCTGTGAGAAGGAATGAGGCACTTACTGGTTCAAGTGATGGTCCTTTTACTGGAACTCACTCTAAGCTGCGGTTCACTGAGCCTCTGGACTTCTCAGAGGGAGTGTTGCCATGAAGCTGCCCTCTTTAAAAAAAAAAATGCCCAACACTCAGCCTATTTCCATTATCTCCAAAACCGGAGGGAAAGAAAGAGCGGTCAGAGTAATTACAGGGAGAACATTTCCAGGCAAGTAATCTGATCTTGCCTTTTAATTTTTTTCCCCTCTAGAAAATAGAAGGCAAATACTGGCACTTATATTTACTTATAAGCATTTCTATTAGATGCTGCCTTGAATCTAGGTGGGGCTGAAAACAGTGTCTATTCCTGTGGCTGTGGGCATGGCTGGCCTAGGGCAGGCTGCAGGGCTCCCTCGCTGCCTTTCTTTTTTGATGCTGCTTCTGTGCTGTCCTTCGCATGAGAGTGAGGGGGAATGCAGGTGAGAGGGTGGCAGGACTCAGGTGCTATCCCTACCTTTGCTGGGAGGAGTGGAGGATAGAGGCAAAGAAATGAGCGATAGGAGAGGAGGAGCAGAATAGAAGGGCAGGAAGTGGGGTCTTTTGGGCTTTCCTGGTTCCAAGCATGGCATAGGGTGAAAGAGCCATGGACATCCCGAAAGTGATAAGGTCTTCCCTGGGGTTTCAGTGGTCATGGATAAGAGAAGCTGGGGATTGTACAAATTCAGGTGGGGAAAGGATAAGCAGTAGAAGGCATGGGCTTGTTGGTTATAGAAAAAAAACTATAAATAACCTAAATATTCATTAATATTGGAATAAATAAAATGTGGTGTAATCCTATGATGGAATACTGTGCAGCTATATAAAGAAGAAAAATGGGAACTATATTTGATCTCAAAAACTTTGAGGAGGAAAACTGAGGAACATAACTCAATGAAAGGGATGATAATGTTTATGTAAAAAATGCTGAAAAATAATGTATATTTTTCAGTGGTTACATATATCTAGATATAAAAGCAGTTTTTTGTTTTTTTTTTAAGTCTGGAGAGCTCTATCCTTAAATCACAGTAGTGCTAATCTCTGGAAAAATGAGGGGAAGCAGGGTTAGTGGTAGTAGTCAGAAGAGATAAAAGACTTAAAATACTGTATTTTTTAAAACATTTAAGTAAATATTCTAATCTAAGTAAATAGTAGCATGTTTAAAACATTTTTGAGTTATGGTTTAGCAGTCCTCTAAGGAAGCAGCGTCAACATTTAGTAATGAGGGAATTAGGCAGCAGCTTAGAAGCAGCCACCCATCCCTGGGGCTCAGTAGGTAAATGTCTCAACCTAGGACAATCAGGCAGTCTAGTGACACAGCAGTGCAGACATCAGAGAGATCAGTCAGGTTGGGATGAAATGAATTACTGGGTTTGCAGTCCTTTTGGCTGGTTCTGTAGCTGGCAGTTACATCTTCTTAGAAGTAGTATCAATAATTTAACATTCATTAATCATCATCTTTAGACCAGCTCTATTTTAGGTACCACTGGGGATTCAGATAAGAGAAAGAATGAAAGAGTGAATGAATGATATTTTTGTCCTTGGATTTAAAACCAGGCCAGGCCCTCATCTTGTCGCATTTGACTGTGAATTTGGTCTGTCTGCTTCCAGTCCTGCCCTCTGCTCTGTCCTTCACCTGCCACCAGAGTGATAATTCGAAAGTGTAAATCTGATCCGTCTTCTTCCTTACCTCTGTTAGGCTCTTTCTCAACTTCCCCTGTCCCAGAGGAGGTGTTTGACTTTATTAATGTGCCTTTCGGTGCCCTTTTCCGCCTGGCACTGATGTGCCCTCCAGTCATGTGACAAAACGACCTCCGCAAACTTCTTGCTAATCCTGGAATGCACTGCGGTGTTTTCATGTGGTATATATTTCCCTTGCGCTTTGGGACCCAATTCAGATGTCACTACTTTTTTGAAGGCTTTTTGAATGCTTTCACTTTCTGAAAGGGCTTAACCTTGCACTTTGCACCTCACTGCTATCGTATACCATTAAAATGATTAGTTATGTGTATTTATTTTAGGATTGTCAGCTTAGGACAACTTGTCAACTATGTCTTATTAATCTCTCCCTCACAGTTTCTGTCCTAGTGTCCATCATAATAGGTACTGAAAAAAATGTTGATTGAAGCCATAGCATATGTTCTTGTTACCTTTCTATGTAACAAATGTTTCCCAACCTCAGTGGCTTAAAACAACAATTTTGTTATGCTCACAGAATCTGGGGGTTGAGAATTTACAGGCACGGCAGGCATGGCTGGAAGTTCCGAGGCTGGGGGCAGCTCACAGGGGAGGCTTGTTCACTCACATGGTGGCAGGTGGAGCTGGGTGGTGATTGGCTCATTCACTCACTTGGTGGCAGGGGGACCTGGCTGGAGCCAGCTCTGGACTGGAGCACCTGCCCAGGGCCTCTCCATGTGCCTTGGGCCCCCTCACAGCATGGCCTCAGGACCGTTGGCTTTCTTATGTGGTGGTTCAGGGCACCCTGAGTGAAATGGAAGCTACATCACTTTTCATGACCTAGGACTGGAAGTCACACAGTGACTTCCTGCCCAGATCCACAGAGGAGGGAATTATTCTAAACTCCACCTCTTGATGGGAGTGTGTGGCATGGTCACATTGCAAAAGAGCGTGTGGGAAGGAGATATTGTTACTGCTGTGTCTGGAGAATACAACCTGCCACGGTGTGTGGGAGAAATTAGTTCCACAGCTAGAGTTAATATCACTACTATTGCTACTACTGCAACTAGCGGCTAAACATTTATTGAGCACTTATTGTGTGCCAGGAATTAAGTTTTAAATGTAGCAACTCATTAAATCCTTCCATAACACTGTGACGATTATACCACTTTACAGATGAGGAAACTGAGGTGCAGAGAGGTTAAGTAACCAGCCCAAGGTCTCACAGCTACTGCCCATGCTGTGGGAAGTCAGTGAAGGCGAAGACTTAGGAATTCACTCCGAACTTTAGGTTTGCTGCTGGATTGTGGCAGTGCATTTATCACATGGGAGTTGATGGCTGTTTCAAGAGCCATTTTTTTTTTTTTTTTTTTTTTGAGACAAGATCTCGCTCTGTCACCCAGGCTGGAGTGCAGTGGCACAATCATTGTTCATGGCAGCCTCGGCCTCCCAGGCTCGAGGAATCCTGAAGGGACCTTTTTTTTTTTTTTTACATAGAGTGTTGCTCTGTTGCCCAGCCCACAGTGCAATGACATGATCTCGGCTCACTGCAACCTCCACCTGCTGGGTTCAAGCGATTCTCCTGCCTCAGCCTCCGGAGTAGCTGGGATTACAGGCGCACATCACCATGCTGGGCTAAATTTTTGTATTTTCAGTAGGGACAGGGTTTCACCATATTGGCCAGGCTGGTCTCGAACTCCTGACCTCAGGTGATCCACCTGCCTCGCCCTCCCAAAGTGCTGGGATTATAGGCATGAGCCACTGTGCCTGGCCTCAAGGGACATTTTTGATGAAAGTATGGATCCAGATAAGGTCCTTGCACCTGTGGGCTTAGGAAGCTGAACCTCAAGCTGTCCTGGTTTTATGGCTCCACTTGTGCCATCTGGACCTTGGTTAGACTGTCCCTTGATGGCAGTGACATTGACCGAGTGGGCTGGAGTGCAGTGGTGCGATCTCGGCTTGCTGCAACCTCCATCTCCCAGGTTCAAGCAATTCTCCTGCCTCAGCCTCCTGAGTAGCTGGGATTACAGGCGTGTGCCATCACACCCGGCTAATTTTTGTATTTTTAGTAGAGCTGGGGATTCACCATGTTGGCCAGGCTGGTCTCGAACCCCTAACCTCAAGTGATCCATCTGCCTTGGCCTCCCAAAGTGCTGGGATTACAGGCGTGTGCCATCACACCCGGCTAATTTTTGTATTTTTAGTAGAGCTGGGGATTCACCATGTTGGCCAGGCTGGTCTCGAACCCCTAACCTCAAGTGATCCATCTGGAAGTGCTGGGATTACAGGCATGAGCCACTGTGCCTGGCCAGTGCAAGTGCCTTTAGCCAGCTTCATTTACTCCCTAACTCCTTGCCTCAGGTTCTGCATCCGTAAAGTGAGGTCACTAGGAGTATTTACCTCAGAGGGCTGTTGCAAGGTTAAAGCTGGTTATACAAGCAGAGTACTTGGAACAGTGTCAGTTACCTGGCTGGGGCTCAGTAAGTGCTGGCTGTCCTTATTGGAAAGGTTCAAGTGTTGTGTTTTCCTGTCACCTGATCTGGAAAGAGGTCAAACAAAGGATCTTTTAGCCCATGCCACTTCCTGTCCTTCCTTGGCTGAAGGCTGACAGGTAAGAATCCCCAGAAGTTGTCACCGATGTGCCTGTGGAAGTGCCTTCCCGATTGCTTTCCCTCTGGAGCCTTTAAGTTCCATGAAGCACTTAGTTGGCCTGGACTCCACCTATTCAGCATGCTGTGGCAGCTCAGTTCAGTTCCCATTTTTAACTTGGGACTGCATAGATTCCCCATCATTTCTTTTAGGACCCGGTGACCAAGAAAATCCAGTCAGTGCTTTATTACTTCTCACTGATATTCACAGAGCACATTTAGTGTGAGCCATGGAATAAGAAAACTCTTAGTCACATTCTGTGTCATGAGAAGGTTACTTAACCTTGAAAACCATTTCCTTGTCTGGTAAATGTGGCTGTAATGAAATCGACCCCATTCACTGTTGTGAGGATTAAATGCGATGATGTATGCAGAGCAACTAGGACAGTGCCTGGGAAAGTGCTGCTCATGATCATTTATCTTCGGTTTAGAACAATATATACTTGCTTATTTAAAAAAGGAGATAATAGAGAAAAGGTATTGAGAAAAATAGGAGAGGAGAAAATCACTCATATTCTCACCATTCAGTGAATCAGCCCAGTATCATCAATGTTTTGTTTGGTTGTTTTTGTAGGTGTAGGATTTTTTTTTTTTTTTAACGTAATTTTCCTGCATATGCAGTTTTGCATTTTTAACCCAAACTTAATGTTCTTTTTAATGTTCTTGTACTTACAAAGATTTATCCTGTTTTTAGATTGATATCTCACCTTGGCAGAAATGAGATAAAATTTTAAAATATTCATTTGGTGGCTTTCACAGTGTTATTTGATCTCTAGGGTCTCCTGTGAGTTTGCTACATGGTGCGTTGTATTACTTTCATCTTAGAGATGAAGAAAGATATTAGTGTGGCTGAGTCGCATGCAGAATTTGGAGGAGCATGGTGCCGAATGAGCCTTGATGATTGTAGGGGCCACAACTGGAAAAGTAGATGTAAAATGGTGAGGTCGATCCCTCTGACACTTTCACATGCTCAGTCACGCATCTTGAACGTATAAGTTGGATCCTGTGCCTAGAGAGGTAGGTTTCTGAGCCAAGGCATATTCCAAAAATTCATGAGAAGCTGGCTTTCCCAGGCACAGTGAGCCCTCCCGGCTCACTAACTCCTGAATCATACCTCCTGCCCCTAGCCAGGTTTATCTAGGACTTGAGCACAAAGAAAAAGTGGGAGCATCTTTGAACAAGAAATATCTTGAAAAACTAGTTAAGTGGTATCATATATTTGTGGGATGGGTGATTTCAAAACCCAATCTAAAAGGACAGGACCTTGCTCATTGACAATTTATTGTCTGATGCAATGTTTCTTAATCTTTTTGGGTCTTGGATTCCTTTGAGAATCTTTTGAAGTTTATGGACTCTTTTCCCAGAAGAACACACTCATGTGTATGTAACACAATTTTGCATTCAATCTTAGGGACTGCAGGTGTCTACATTAGTTATATATTGGTGTAAAAAAAAAAGCCCCAAACTTAAGGCTTAAAGGAACAATAGATGTTTATTATCTCACAGTTTCTGTGGTTCAGAAAGTCAGTAACATCTTAACTGGATACTTCTGACTCGGAGTCTCTTAGGAGGTTGCAATCAAGATGTTGTTGGGGGGAAAGGGGCAGGTTCAGTGGTCATGCCTGTAATCTCTACACTCTGGGAAGCAAAGCCAGGAGGATTACTTGAGCCCAGGAGTTTGAGACCAGCCTGGGCAACACAGTGAGACCCTATGTATTAGTCAGTTCTCACATTGCTATAAATACATGAGACTGGAGAATTTATAAAGAAAAGAGGTTTAATTGTCTCGCAGTTCCACAGGCTGTTCAGGGAGCATAATGCTGGCATCTGCTCAGCTTCTGGGGCAAGCACAGGAAACTTTCAATCATGGTGGAAGGTGAAGGGGAAGCAGGCACGCCTTACATGGCCAAAGCAGGAGCAAGAGAGAGAGGGGGGAGGTGCCACACACTTTTAAACAATTAGATACTGGGAGAACTCTAACGAGCACAGCACCAAAAGGGTGATGCTAAATCATTCATGAAAGATCCATTCCTGTGACCCAGTCACCTCCCACCAGGCCCCACCTCTAACATTGGGGATTATAATTGAACGTGAGATTTAGGTGGGTACACAGACCCCAACCATATCATCCCATCTCTATAAGAAATAAAAAAGTTAGCCAGGCATGGTGGTGTGTGCTGGTGGTCCCAGATACTCAGGAGGCTGATGTGGGAGGATCACTTGAGCCTCAGAGGTCAAGGCTGCAGTGAGCTATGATTGCACCACTGCACTCCAGCCTGGGTGACAGAGTGAGACCCTGTCTCAACAACAACAAAAAGATGCCTGGGGTTGACATTATCTGAAGGCTTGACTGAGTTGACTGAGGCTGGAGAATCTACTTCCAGTCACATGCTAGCCAAGTTAGTGCTAGCTGCTGGCAGGAGGCCTCATGGGGTCCTCCCCATATGGCTGCTTTGATGTCCTCATAACATCGTGCTTGTCTTTTTATGACCTAGCCCTGGAAGTCACATTCCACCATTTGTGCATTTCCTATTGGTCACATAGGTCAGTCCTATTTAGTGCATAGGGCAAGGTCTGAGAGGGGAGTAGTGCTCACTGCCCATGCCCTCTCCTGGTGCACGCCGCTTCCAGCACCCAGAAGCTCTCCTAACTCCATTATTTAGGGTTTTCATATGGGATTTCATTACGTGGGTATGACTGATCAAATCACTGACCAATGCTGATTGGATCAATCTGCGGTCCCCCTCTTGTCCTTGGAGGTCTAAGGGCAGGGCTGAAAACTCCACAATTCTAAGCGTGGCCAGCTCCTTCCTTGAAACTGCCTCCGTGCTCACCTTCAGTCACCTCGTTAGCATAAACTCTGGGATGGCCAAAAGGGGCTTCTTATAAATAACAAAAGGTACTCCCATTGCTTAGGAAGTTCCAAGGGGTTTAGGAGCTCAGTGCCAGGAACTGGGGACAAAGACCAAATATGTATGTGTGTATATATATATATATATAAATACTACAGTAGTGAATTTTATATAGCAAACATGCATTATTTTTCTTTTTGGCTAAAATTTTTTTCTAGTTATAAAACTGGTACATACTCATTGCAGAGGACTGGGGGAAGGAGTAAAATATTAAGAAAAAAATAAAAATCACTTGCCATCCTGTCACCTAGTATTTTCTTTCTAGTTCTTTTCATGCAGTTATATATAACATTTTGATCTTTCTTTTTATGTTACAGAAGTCATATTTGCTTATTGCAGAGTAATCCAAAGAGTACAGAATGTCTAAAGTTAAAAAAGTTATTTAAAAAAAATGATCCTTGCCTGGGAGGAACTTTCTATTGTAGGCTGAGAGGGGAGATAGAGGGGCTGTGGGTCAGAGGATGCCCTGGTCAGGGTTGGGCGCCTGTGTCTCTTTGGAGGCAGCAGAGGTCTGCACAGCGGGGTATTACCATTATAGGGAAATGGTGGGGTGGGATGTGTAGAAGGGGAATTAAACTGCCAAGAAGAAAACAATTCTTTTTATGTTGAGAAGCATTATTTTCAGGGGTCAGAAGCCCTTTGTGGGGCAGAGGGAAATTAAGGAGGTATTTAATAAACAGGTGCAGCTGAATGTGTGTGGTTAAAGTGCAATCCAGTAGTTATTTATTTGTCCGGATTGTTTATAACCTGCTTCCAGCCTAGACAAGTTGATTTGACCCTGCTGTCCTGGCTCATTCAGGCCACTTAACACTGTTTACCTTTGGGTGGGGAGGACGTGCATGATCCGCTGGCCTAGTGCCTTTGTAAGGTCTGTAAATCGGATGCATTCTGGTTAAACTCATTATTGCATCACAAAAGCCAGTATCTGATGGGTCTCAGCTGTTTTCTTTTGCACTGGGGAAGACTGGAGGAGAATGAAACTTCCTTGAACCAGTGATTGGGTCTCTACCAAAGAGAGAAACTTAAAGCCAGTGAGAGCCTTAAGATATTTCATTTGAGCACTTGGCTGGCACCATGTAGGTAGAGACACTTTAAAGTAACAGTGCTTTGCTACACCTGATTTGAATCATCTGTGGAGCTTCAAAAAAAACCCTAATTAATCCTAAGACCAGTTATGTCAGGTGGGGTCCAGGCACTGTTATTTTTTTTAAAGCTCCCCAGGTGATTCCAGTGTAGGTCCAGGATTGAGAAGCAGTTCTTGAAGATGCTGGTGTACCCTGACCTGCCTCCAGCCTTCTTTGCAGGAGATGGATGGGGGTTGGTTGTAGTTGCTCTGTCATAGAACACTGCAATTCTAAGGATGCCTAATGTTATGAATGTAGGTAAATTGTTTGCAAAATGTTCTGTGTTTCAGGAATACTGCAATCATTTGATTTAAGTGTCACCATATGTGTGTGTGTATACAGTCATGGGTCACTTAATGATGGGGACATGTTTTAAGAAATGCATCATTAGGCAATTTCATTCTTGTGTGAACATCATAGGGTGTATTTCAACAAACCTAGATGGGATATATATTTTCATTTATATATTTTATTATGGAAAATCAAATGTCCCAGCACTGTTACTAAATATCAGTCATTTCCCCTACTTGATCTGCCATGCCAACATTAAGTGCCATATATTAGATCTCTATATATGCTCCACTATAATCTTACAGGATCACTGTTGCACATGTGTTTCCTCATTGACTGAAATGTTATTCAGTGCATGACTGTACATATATTAAAAATGTTATGCACCATATTTTAACATACTGATATTACTAATGAGTTGTCCTCATGGTGACTTTAAATGTCATAATTAATGCCATCAACCAGAATATATCAAATAAATTCAGATACCACTTGTTCTGTTTATTTCCTTCCCCTGCCAATTTTTTATTTTTCCTGGTTCTGCTGAAGCCAAGATGGGGTGCTGTGTAAGATTTTGTTTGTGAGGAAAGGTTCTGCATGAATTAAAGTTTTGCAAGCCATGGGCATTTCATTGTATGGGCCGTTTTGAGGTCTGTCATCTTGCAGATTAGATTAGCTTACACTGAGGCACAGTCACCTGCTGGGCTGGGCAGAGAGCTGCACTCCACTAGTATTTGAGCTGTCCCGGCTGTTCACCAGCTGGATCCACTTCGGATAGGCATAGCCAGGGCAGCCGCCATTCCCATTTGTGGGGGAAAAGGGAAGCT
This sequence comes from Homo sapiens, assembly GCF_000001405.40. NCBI lineage: Eukaryota > Metazoa > Chordata > Mammalia > Primates > Hominidae > Homo > Homo sapiens. The sequence continues at coordinate 64,840 of NT_187386.1, forward strand.
ATCACAAGAATGGGCTGCAGCTGTGGGATGAGGTGGGCAGCCCAGTGATGGTGTCATTGTCAAGGGGCCGTTGAAATGTCCTTAAGCAGTCATTGGCCAAATCCTGTCCTCTATGGATCCAGAGCCACAGAATGTTCCAGCAGAAATATGTCTTAGCCAGCAGCTCTTTATTGAGGACTGATTGTGGGCTAGGCTCTGTGCTAGGGTCTTTACAGATGTTACTAAATCTTCTCAATAACCCTATGAGACAGGCATTATTATCCCCATCTTACCGATGAGAAAACTGAGGCTTAGAGAGGTTAAGCAGCTTATCCAAGATCACAGTTAATAAGTGACAAAGCCAGCATCGGAACCCATGCTAGTGCTCTCTAAAACGTTCTTAGAAATCATGTGATAGATGAGAAGATCAAGGTCTGGAGAAGAAAAGCAAGTTGTCTGAGATGACACAACCAGCTCTAATTGGTGGCAAAGCTGCGCCTATAACTCACCTGCGCTTTTCACAACCTGCAGTACGTGACCACTGCCGAAATGAAGAGGCAGGGGTGTGCCCCCTCCCACCTTCTGAGTGGCTCAGGCACAATCAATGTTGAGTTGGCACGAAATGAGAAATTAAACTCACCATGCCACTTTAAGAAGAACATGGAGAAGGCAGGCAGAAGTGACCGTGGAGAACAGTATCTGAGCCAGAAGGCAGGAGGTCAGCGGGGGAGTCTTGAGTGGGAAACTCAAGGGTAGCCTGACTGTCCTTGTCACAGGTTTAGCTGGGCACTGTTAGTTCCCCCCTTTGTCAGTTTGTGGGAATCTGGGCATCAGGGATCTGTTTCAGCCCTTCACATTTGTATTTGGGTGTGCTCAGCTTAAAACGATAGCAGCCTGCAGGAGCTCAGCCCTGCCTCCATTTATGGAGGGAAGAGAAACTAAGGAATGCTCCTTGGGGTGGTGTTGGGGAGCAGCTACATGGGAAAATGAAGGGTGCAGCACCAGTAAAAAGGTGCTCCCAGGACTCCCTCCCACCAGCACTCGGACCAAGGAAGAAGCATTTAATTTCAGCCAGATTCCTAGATGGTTGCTTTTATTTGTTTTCATCTGAATTTGTGCCAAGGATTCAACTTTTCCTGCTTATTTTATTAAAAACTTTATACACAGCATTAATAAATAGATATAAAACTGCCGTATACATGACAAACAGAGGGTCTAAATGAAATTCCCAAGGGTCAGCTGTTGAATAAGTAACAAAAGCACATCTTGGCATGATCAAATTCCCATATATATGCAAATTAGGGACAGTGCTTTACCACAGAGTGTTTTAATTAATATTTATAAATCACAGAGTGCCTTTGAAAGGGCCAGTAAGCTGTTTATATTATTATCATGTCACACAAATAACAAACCCTTTGGAGATTGCTGCCTACTTTGCATTTTGGTCTGAGAAGTAAGTGAGCATGTTGCATGTGTTTCTCTTCCTCGTAGGTGTGGTGTCAGCACAGCGGCAGGTCACCGTTCAGGAAGGACCCTTGTACCGCACAGAGGGCTCCCACATCACTATCTGGTGCAATGTGAGTGGCTACCAGGGACCTTCTGAACAGAATTTCCAGTGGTCCATTTACCTGCCTTCGTCGCCAGAGCGAGAGGTGCAGATCGTCAGCACCATGGACTCTTCCTTCCCCTATGCCATCTACACCCAGCGCGTCCGCGGAGGGAAGATCTTCATAGAAAGAGTCCAGGGGAACCCAACCCTATTGCACATCACAGATCTTCAGGCCCGGGATGCCGGGGAATATGAATGCCACACACCCAGCACCGAGAAGCAATACTTTGGGAGTTAACAGTGCAAAGATGAACCTAGTGGGTAAGGAGAAGCTGTCTTCACGTTGCCAGCGTCTGGCCTGACTCAGTTCTTTAGTAGTGTAATTTTGCTTTATGCCATGCATTTGACTTTAAAAAAAATCCCAAAACTCCCAGCATATTTTAGGGGTCAACAGATAGCACAAGGAAACTAAATTTCTGTGTTCACTTCTAAATAATAGGTGGTTGAGGGTGAAACTTTAAAAAGATCTAATGCAGATGTTAAGAATTTCGTAAGTTAACTAACCCTGTAACTGGTGAAAAGGGATATGAAAATATAAGGCAAGGACGTTTGTGGTTGATGATCTGAATGACAAGGAAGATGAGACGTATGACATCAGTTGGGAGAGAGGAGAAACCTCTCGGAAGGATAGGCCTTTGGGTAGCTCTGAGACCCACGGGGCACTGCTGAAGCAGGAAGCACATGTGGCTGCGGGTCCTTGCTCAGACCTTGTACATTGAAGGTCCTTTGGCTCCATGCGTAAGGAACTATGAACTGGCTGTCTCCCTTGTTGCTCCTTAATGCTGAAGGAAACATGAGGAAGAGGGATGCAGGAGCTTCCAGTGTGGGCAGCACTGGTCACAGTGTTTGCCAGTGTCAAAGGGTTAACCATATCAAGGCTGTTCTGTTTTTCTGCCTATATTAATGTCCAGTTTTTATTATCACAACTAAGCAGTGGGTGTTGCTAGTTCTTTTATTAATATACATACTATCATTTGTTTATTTTTCCTTTCTCTAACTAGTCTGTGTCCCAGCAGGAGACCTTTTTTTTCTTTTGTGTGTGTGTGTGTGTGTGTGTGACGGAGTTTCACTCTTGTGGCCCAGGCTGGAGTGCAGTGGTGCAATCTTGCCTCACTGCAACCTCCACCTCCCGGGTTCAAGCAATTCTCCTGCCTCAGCTCCTGAGTAGCTGGGATTACAGGCACCTGCCACCATGCCTGGCTAATTTTTTGTATTTTTAGTGGAGATGGGGGTTTCACCATGTTGGCCAGACTGGTCTCGAACTCTTCACCTCAGGTGATCCACCTGCCTCTGCCTTCCAAAGTGCTGGGATTATAGGCGTGAGCCACTGCACCCGGCCATGTGATGGGAATGTTCTGTGTCCATAATAGATGCTGCATATTGCTGGCCCAGCTCCTGAGGCTCTTTGGACCTCCAGGAATCGGTGTCTCTATCAGGAACCCTTAACCCTGACCCAGACTCCCAGCTGGGACCCAGGGTGTTGGAGTGGCAAGAGCGCTGTCAGGCCTGGTGAAGGGTGTGAGCTGTCCAACGGGGCAGGGAGGAGGCAGGGCCTGTTCTGCAGTTGGACAGACAGAGCCCTCTAGCTGCTTTCTGGAAGACTGAAGGGCAGGTGATGTTGGAGGGAGGGAGTGCAGGCAGGGGCTGTGAGGGAGTTCAGGTCAGAAACAGGTGGCACCAGGATTCAGGCTGTGGTGGTCACGGTGGGGATGAGGGGCTGCTTTGGATTATGCTGAGGATGTGGGGTGGTGCGCTGCTGCATGACTACTGCCAGGTCTCTCTGCTCTTGGTGTCTGCATCCAGGGCTGGGAGGGGGTCAAATGTATCACACTATCGGCCCCAGGCCCACCAAGCCTGGGGAGGTGGCCACCCTTCCATGATGGCATTTGGATGTTCCCTGTGTGTGGGGAGGGCACGGGGACTCCATTCATAGACCACCTCTGGGACAGTGTGTCTGCCTCTGAGGTCAGACGCTCTGCACTGGGACAGCGTGGAGTGGAGGGAAACCAAGCTTGGGGCTCATTGGAGGGGCTTGCTGGCAGACACCGCCCTTTGTGGGAAACTGACTGTGGGAGAGGGGAACCCCAACCTCTGTCACCACATCCCTCTTCCCTGTTGTCACACCTGTCACCTGCTGCCGTAGCCATGAGACTTCCCAAGGGTCACTGCTGCCACTCACTGCACAGCCTGGAAGGGAGTCCACAGGGGACATACAGTGAGCAAGAGACCTGTGCCACTCAGGCCTCCTGGGGGTGTCCCCAGTGCAGCCATGATGATAATCACAGCTACCATTCACCAAGCCCTGCCCACAGTCTAACCTACTCTATTCACAACACTCCCAGCAGCAAGGCAAGTGAGGTGCTGCCGTCATCCAGGCTGGACAGTTCAGTGATTTGCCTGAGGCCCCACAGCAGGTGAGTGGCAAGTCCAGCGTCAGAGCAGGGCAGGCTGGCGGTGCCCCCTGAGCCCCCTTTGCCATGCTTACCGCATGCACATCCTGGGCTTGTGCAGGAATGCCCTGTCCCCTACCTGCCCTGCTCCGTGCAAAACCCTGTGCCTGGGAGACATGCTGAGAGAATTCATGGAAACAAATGTGTTACTGACAGCCTCTTTGCCTCCAGAGTTCAACTGGAGACAGAAAAACCAGCTAGAGGCAGAGGGAGGTAACACGGAGTCCCCCAGAAAGGTCTGAGCTGTGCGTGCTTCAGGTAACCTCCCTTGACCTTCAGGAGAACGAGAAGGCTGCCTGATCAGAGAGTCTCTGAAGAAGATTCTGTGGCTACAGGCTTCAGCAGAGTGTGAGGGAGACCCCGGTTATTTCCTCAGCTGTTTCCACCAAATCCTCCTGTCTTTCGTGGCCAACACCCCAGGCAAGGCTTGGGGCCCCCGTCTGCTGCTGGACGGTAAGTCCTGGCCCCGTGGCAGTGAATCTGTGGGGCGCTCTGATTGTGGGCACTATGGAAGCTAAACCCCATGCTCCAGGTGGGGTGGAGGGTCTTCAGAGGACTCCTGGACAGTGCCAGGCTCTAGGCTGGGGTGGGGGACACAGGAGAAACCAGGCCAGGCCCATCCCTGCTGGAGCTTCTCCCTAAGCAGTGGAGGCTCAGCCACTGTGAGGAGGTAGGCCAGGCCCTGCAGAAAGAGGGGTGTGGAAATCTGGGGGCTCCCAGGAAGGGCCGCTGCTGGAGATGGGGTTCTTACCAGGATGGGCTCTGAAGATAAGCAGGGAGGATTTGGGAGGGCAGAGATGAGGCCCAGAGCTTCTGGCAGAGGGCATGGCCTGCGCAAAGGTCTGGGGGCCGGACAGCCTGCACGTATTCTGGGAAGCGGGAAGGAGACACAGGCCTTGTGTTTCTGAGGCCTGACTTTAGACTGTGCCCTGTTGGGGAGGGGCCAGGGCATGTCTGAGGCTGGGCCTGACCCTGCTCCTTACCCCGTGGGTGCAGCAGAGCCATGAAGAAGAAGTTAGTGGTGCTGGGCCTGCTGGCCGTGGTCCTGGTGCTGGTCATTGTCAGCCTCTGTCTCTGGCTGCCCTCGGCCTCCAAGGAACCTGACAACCATGTGTACACCAGGGCTGCCGTGGCCGCGGATGCCAAGCAGTGCTTGGAGATTGGGAGGTGAGCGGGGCAGGGCATGGGACATGGGCCCTGAAAACTGGGCAAGTGGACCTGAGCAATACCTTCACCCCTCTGAGACTCAGTTTCCCCACATGTAAGCTTCGCTTGGACTCTCTCAGTAGCCTTTGGGAAGGGGACGGTGACTCCGAGAGCAGGGTGTGGGTCTCTAGAGCCAAACAGGGCCCCTTTTCTCAGTTCTAAGAGTCTCTGTTTCTTTGGATAAACTCCACTGTTTTGTTGTTTGGTTGTTATTTTTACTTATTTCTTCCTATCTATCTATCTATCTATCTATCTATCTATCTATCTATCATCTATCTATCTATCTATCTATCTATCTATCTATCTATCTATCTATATCTATTTAGAGATGGAGTTTTGCTCTGTTGCCAGGCTGGAGTGCAGTGGTGCAATTTCAGTTAACTGCAACCTCCGCCTCCCAAGTTCAAGCGATTCTCATGCCTAAGCCTCCCAAGTAGCTGGGATTATAGGAGTGCGCCACCACGCCCAACAAATTTGTGTGTGTGTATATGTGTGTGTGTGTGTGTGTGTGTGTGTGTGTGTGTTTTCTGAGACAGAGTATCGCTCTGTTACCCAGGCTGGAGGGCAGTGGTGCAATCTTGGCTTACTGCAGCCTCCACCTCCCAGGTTCAAGTGATTCTCCTGCCTCAGCCTCCACAGTAGCTGAGACTACAGGCATGTGCCACCATGCCCAGCTAATTTTTGTATTTTTAGTAGAGACAGGGTTTTGCTATGTTGGCCAGGCTGGTCTTGAACTCCTGACCTTGTGATCCTCCCACCTCTGCCTCTCAAAGTGCTGGGATTACAGGTGTGAGCCACTGCGCCTGGCCTAATTATGGTGTTTTTAGTAGAGATGGGGTTTCACCATGTTGGTCAGGCTGGTCTCGAACTCCTGACCTCAGGTAATCCACCCACCTGGGCCTCCCAAAGTGTTGGGATTACAGGTATGAGCCACCACGCCTGGCTTATTCTTTTCTTTTCTTTTCTTTTTTTTTTTTTTTTTTTTTTTGGTTAGGAGACAATTTCTTTCTTTCTTTTTTTTATTTTATTTTATTATTATACTTTAAGTTTTAGGGTACATGTGCACAATGTGCAGGTTTGTTACATATGTACACATGTGCCATGTTGGTGTGCTGCACCCACCAACTCGTCATTTAGCATTAGGTATATCTCCCAATGCCATCCCTCCCCCCTCCCCCCTCCCCCCAAGGAACGCTGTTGCCCAAACAGGGACATGAAGGGCTTATTCTTTTTTTAAGGTGGAGTCTTACTCTGTCACCCAGGCTGGAGTATAGGGGAGCGATCATAGCCCACTGCAGCCTCAAACTCTTGGGTTTAAGTGATCCTCCCGCCTCAGCTTCCTAAAGTGCTGGGATTACAGGTGTGAGCCATGGTGCCTGGCTTCTACTGTGTTATTCTATTTTAGACTCTTATCTCATGTTATATATAAAGATAAGTTCCCTCCTAAAGACTTAAACAGAAAAAATATTATGTTTTTCATATTTTGAGACAGGGTCTTGTTCTGTCACCCAGGCTGGAGTGCAGTGGCATGATCCTAGCTCACTGCAGCCTTGAACTCTTGGGCTTAAGCGATCCTCTCACCTCAGCCCCCTGAGTAGCTAGGACTACAGGCGTGCATCATACCTGACTAATTAAAAAAGACTGTTTTGTAGAGATGGTCTCACTCTATTGCCCAGGCTGGTCTTGAACTCCTGGCCTCAAGTGATCCTCCACCTTGGCCTCCCAAAGTGCTGAGATTACAGGTGTAAGCCACCATCTCTAGCAGGGAAAAAAAAAATGTTATTAATAAAGTATAGCAATTTCCCTTTTTGTCCCAATTATAAAAGTCATGTACATTTGTTTGCTTAATAAAGAGGAAACTGTCTGGGCAAGGTGGTCCACACCTGTAATCCCAGCACTTTGGGGGGTTGAGGCGGGCAGACCACTGAGGTCAGGAGTTCGAGACCAGCCTGGCCAACATGGTGCACTCTGTCCCTACTAAAAATATAAAAAGTTAGCCGGGCATGGTGGTGTGCGCCTGTAATCCCAGCTACTCAGGAGGCTGAGGCAGGAGAATCGCTTGAACCCAGGAGGCAGAGGTTGCAGTGAGCTAAGATCATGCCACTGCACTCCAGCCTGGGCAACTGAGTGAAACTCTGTCTCAGAAAAAAAAAAAAAGAAAAAAGAAAAGAAAAAGAAGAAACTGTAATCCCAGCACTTTGGGAGGTTGAGGCGATAGGATTGCTTTAGACCATGAGTTTGAGACCAGCCTGGGCAACATAGAAAGACCCTATCTCTACAAAAAAGACAAAAAATTGCCCGGTGTGGTGGTTCTTACCTGTAGTCCCAGCTACTCAGGAGACTGAAGTGGGAGGATTGCTTGAGCCCAGGAGGTCAAAGCTGCATTGAGCCAAGACTGTGCCACTGCACTTCATCCTGGGTGACAAAGTGAGACCCTGTCTCATAAAACAAAGGCTGGGCACAGTGGCTCATGCCTGTAATACCAGCACTTTGGGAGGCCAAGGTGGGTGGATTACTTGAGCACAGGAGTTCTTGACCAGCCTGGGCAACATGATGAAACCCCATCTCTACAAAATACACAAACAAACAAAATTGGCTGGGCATGGTGGCATGTGCCCATAGTCCCAGCTACTTGGGAGGCTGAGATGGGAGGGTCAATTGAGCCCAGGAGACTGAGGCTGCAGTGATCCAAGATCACACCACTGCACTCCAGCCTGAGCAACAAAGAGAGACTTTGTCTCCAAAAAAAAAAAAAAAAAAAAAAAGAGGCCAAGGCAGGTGGATCATGAAGTCAAGAGATAGAGACCATCCTGGCCAACATGGTGAAACCCCGTCTCTACTAAAAATACAAAAATTAGCTGGGCGTGGTGGCATGCACCTGTAGTCCCAGCTACTCAGGAGGCTGAGGCAGGAGAATGGCTTGAACCCGGGAGGCAGAGGTTGCAGTGAGCTGAGATCGTGCCACTGCACTCCAGCCTGGCAATAGAGCAAGACTCCATCTCAAAAAAAAGAGAAAGAAACTAAAAACAAAAACCCCAAAACTCGAATGGACTTCTCTTCCATCCTCCTTTGGGCAGGTGGGCAGCAGGGTGTGTATGCGGGGCCAGGGTGGAAGCCTGCAGGTTCTCATGCCTTTATGTGCCACATGGCAGGGACACACTGCGGGACGGTGGCTCTGCAGTGGATGCAGCCATTGCAGCCCTGTTGTGTGTGGGGCTCATGAATGCCCACAGCATGGGCATCGGGGTTGGCCTCTTCCTCACCATCTACAACAGCACCACTCATGAGTGCCTCGGAAGAGGAGAGGGAGAGGGGCAGGGGGTGTGGGTTGGGCCGAGGCACAGCTGGGTGGCCCCCAGGCTCACGTGGCATAAAGGGTTTTGGTGGGTGGGCCTGCCTACCTGCTTCTTCTAGGAAAAGCTGAGGTCATCAATGCCCGCGAGGTGGCCCCCAGGCTGGCCTTTGCCAGCATGTTCAACAGCTCGGAGCAGTCCCAGAAGGGTAAGCCATGCTGCAGACTTGGGGCATGGGTGCAGAGCTGGCTGAGCCACCGGGAAGGGGCCTTGCCCACAGAAGCCTGCTCCCGTCAGGGTTCAGGGGCAGTTCTGTCACCCCCCATCCCTTCCTGGCCCCATAGCACCCTCCCACAATGAGTGGTCAGGACCATCATCACCACGGTAAAGGGCCGGGAGCTTCTGTTATTTCTGCTAAGGCCTCCGGGGCCACCCTGTGCAGCACGTGGAGAGAATAATTATTATGCTAGCAGACCTCATGGATCAGGGCTCACTGGGGCCCATGCTCTGCTCTGTGCTTTTCACCCACGAGCCTCTCACAACCCTCCCTGCTCCTTTGGGCAAGGGGATGCTGTGTGGATTCCCATTTTACAGGGTGGGGATGCTGAGGCTCAGACAGGTCATGCAAATCAGCTGAGGTCACACAGCTGGGAGGTGGTGAAGCTAAAATTGAACCCAGGCTGTCTATATCCTGCCTTTTCAACAGGCATCCCATTCACTCATTTGTTCATTTGTGGGGATGGCGCTCTAGAATGTGAGGTGGAGTCTCTCTTTTCTAATCTGGTCTTAAGTGGGGAGGAGGCCCCCAAATTCCCCAGGTACCTGAGGGGAAGCCACTGTCCATCCAGGAAGCCACTGTCTGTCCCCAAAGGAGGCACAATAGATTGTGAGATAAAAGTTGGAGGATGGGAGGGTCTCAACAACTCACACCTCTAATCCTAGCACTTTAGGAGGCCAAGTCAGGAGGAGCGCATGAGCCCAGGAGACCTGCCTGGACAACATAGCAAGACTCCATCTCTACAAAAAATGGAAAAAAAAATTAGCTAGGTATGGCGGTGTGTGCTTATGGTCCCAGTTACTCGGGAGGCTAAGGTGGGAGGATCACTTGAGCCCAGGAGGTTGAGGCTGCAGTCAGCCATGATTATACCACTACACTCTAGCTTGGGCAACAAAGTGAGACCCTGTCAAAAAAAAAAAAAAAAAAAGGCTGGGCCTTTTTTTCACAGGCTCACGCCTGTAATCCCAGCACTTTGGGAGGCTGAGGCAGATGGATCACCTAGGTCAGGAGTCCAAGACCAGCCTGGCCAACATAGTGAAACCCTTTCTCTACTAAAAGTACAATAATTAGTCGGGCGTGGTGGCACAGGCCTGTAATATCCCAGCTACTCAGGAGGCTAAGGCAGGAGAATCGCTTGAACCCACGAGGTAGAGATTGCAGTGAGCCGAGATCATGCCACTGCACTCCAGCCTGGGCAACAAGAACGAAGCTCCGTCTCAAAAAAAAAAAAAAAAAAAAAAAAGTTGGAGGATGGAGGGGCAGGACACACTCACCATAGCAGGTCTTAGACTTCAGGTGGGGGTCCTGGGTGGTGCCCTTTGGAGTCTTCTGCAACATACTCAATCTTTGATTTTTTTTTTCTTTTTTTTTTTTGAGACGGAGTCTCACTCTGTCGCCCAGGTTGGAGTGCAGTGGTGCGATCTCGGCTCACTGCAAGTTCCGCCTCCTGAGTTCACGCCATTCTCCTGCCTCAGCCTCCCGAGTAGCTGGGACTACAGGCGCCCGCCTCCACACCCAGCTAATTTTTTGTATTTTTTAGTAGAGACGGGTTTTCACTGTGTTGCCCAGGCTGGTCCCTCGATCTCCTGACCTCGTGATCCCCCTGCCTCAGCCTCCCAAAGTGCTGGAATTACAGGCGTGAGCCACTGTGCCCGACCAATCTTTCATTTGTTTTTAATACTCACTGAGAAACTCAGCATCTGTAGACATGAAGTTGCTGAGGGTAAGAGAATGCGGGAATCATAGGCTTGGCACCTTGTGGACGCTTAAAACCATTTATTTGACTAGAATGTATTGAGCATTGTCTTAAAGAATCAGCTGTTGTTCCTGAAGCTGGGGTGAAAAACAAAGACGGCAGATGAAATCTGTGACACTCCAGGTGGGAGGAGAAACTAGGCAAGTGCGGGTGTGTTACGGGCTGTAGAAAAACAGACCTGGAGGGCCTCAAAATCTGGGACTCTATGGAGGGTGACCTAGTCAGGGAAGGGGACATCTGAGCAAAGACCCAGAGGCAGAGATGGGGTCAGGGGAGTTATCTCCTGGTCTGCTATCCAGGTGTGATGGCAGGGACAGAGCCCTGTGGGGAGCTGGGGAGGCTGCAGCAAGTGATCCAAGGGGAATGGCCCAGGTTGTGCGGGATCTCTTAGGTTATGGTGAAGCCTCTGCTTCCTGTCTGAGGGAAGTGGGGGCTCGTGGAGTGTGTGACTGGAAGGGGATGGATCTGGTCTATGGACCCCTTGGATTGCTGTGTAAGGGGCAGGGAGCATGTGGGGACCTGTCCGGAGGTCACTGCAGTAATTCGTGGAGAGGGTGCTGGGAAGTGGCTGACGCTGCACAGACACACTTGGAAGTGGAGCCTGTGGATTTGAGGATGGGTTGGGTGTGACGCTTGTGTAGGGAGTCCCCGGGGACCCCTGATCTTTTGTCTGTACCTGGAAGGATGGGGTGACCCTAATGGAGACAGGCAGGGTTCTCAGGAAGCAGGTTGAGCAGACACTCAGGAGCTCGGTTTTGGGCACGTTGAAGTTTGAGATGCTTTCTTCAAGCAGGCAGGTAGATCCTCAGGTCTGGTGATCGGAGGAGCAGTCCAGGCCAGCAGGTCAATTTGAGAGTTGTCAGTGCATAAATGGAGGCTGAAGCTCAGATGTCAAGCAGACCACCAGGAGAGAGAGCAAAGACAGAGGGGAGAGTAGGAGCTAGGATGGCAGGCGGGGGAGACTCGGGTGGAGCCAGGTGCTGGGATGCAGGGGCGGCTCTCAGGGAGAGTGATGAGCCCAGTAAAGCTGAGAGGGGGCACTGGGTCTGGCAGTGTGGGGGTCACCAGAGAACTTGGCAAGTGTGGTGGCATGAGAGCCTGATTGGGCTGAGGTCAGGAGGAGATTTTTTTCTGATATTGATACATGATATTTTCTATATTTATGGGTACATGTGAGTGCTTGTTCCATGCATAGAGTGTATAATGATCAAGGCAGGGTATTTGGAGTCTCCGTCACCTTGAATATTTTTCATTTCTGGGTGTTAGCACCATAGTCCTCTCTTCGTTACTTTGAAATATACAAAATACTGTTGCTAAGCATCGTCACCCTGGTCTGCTATCAAAGATTAGAACTTCTCCTGTCTTGGCTGGGCACGGTGGCTCACGCCTGTCATCCCAGCACCTTGGAAGGCTGAGGTGGGTGGATGACCTGAGGTCAGGAGTTTGAAAACAGCCTGGCCAACATGGCAAAACCCCATCTGTAGTAAAAATACAAAAATTAGCCTGGCGTGCTGGCCTGTGCCTGTAATCCCAGCTACTCGGGAGGCTGAGGCAGGAGAATCGCTTGAACCTGGGAGGCGGAGGTTATAGTGAGCTGAGATCATGCCACTGCACTGCAGTCTGGGAGACAGAGCAAGACTCCATCTCAAAAACAAACAAAGAAAAAAAAAAACAAAACAAAAAAGAACTTCTGTCTAACTACAAGGTGGAAGGAATCATATGCTGGGTGTCAGACCTTCCGGGATATATGTGCAGCTTCTAGGAATTGAAACCACCAGCTCTTGGAAACTTGTGCCAGGCTTCAGGGTGGGAGAGGCAGTTCTAGAGCCACAGCCGCCAAGCCAAGGCAAATGGCCCCATCATCTCTCGCAAGAGCAGGAGAGTCCCTGGGGGCAGAGGCCATAGTTGTACCTTTCTGGGCAAAGGGTCAGTGTCTGTAGTGTCCATATGGGCAGTGGGGCTCAGGGGGGAAGCAGGCCCAGGGGTCTGTTTCCAATGACCTCCCCAAAAGTCAGAACTGGAAGGCAAAACCCCTTATAGGCTGAGTGCACCTGTAATCCCAGCATGTTGGGAGGCTGAGGTGGGAGGATTGCTTGAGGCCAGAGTTTGAGACCAGTCTTGGCAACGTAGCAAGACCCCTGTCTCTACAAAAAATAAAAATAAAAAATTAGGCTGGGAGTGGTGGCTCACGCCTGTAATCCCAGAACTCTGAGAGGCTGAGGAGGATGGATCACCTGATGTTAGGAGTTCAAGACCAGCCTGACCAACCTAGTGAAACCCCGTCTCTACTAAAAATACAAAAATTAGCAAGGCGTGGTGGTACATGCCTGTAATCCCAGCTACTTGGGAGGCTGAGGCAGGAGAATTACTTGAACTTGGGAGGCGGAGGTTGGAGTGAGCCAAGGTTGTGCCATTGCACTCCAGCCTGGGCAACAAGAGTGAAACTCCATCTCAAAAAAAAAAAAAAAAAAGCCACGTGTAGTGGGGTATGTCTGTAGTCTTAGGTACTTCAGAGGCTGAGGTGGGAGGATCGCTTGAGCCTGGGAAGCCAAGGCTGCAGTGAGCCATGATTGCACCACTGCACTCCAGCTGGGACAACAGAGTGAGACCCTGTCTCAAAACAGACAAACAAACAAAAACCCTTATAGTTGGATGGAGAAACTGAGGCTGGGAGAGGGGACAGGATGGAGGTTAAGGCTCAGTCTTGCCTCTCTGGGGCAGTAGAAAAGGGGAAGGGAGCCCTTTCTTGGGGCTGGCTGTGTCTTGAAGGTGGCCTGTGCTTGACCTGGGTCAGGGTAGGATCTGCTCTTGTTTTGGCACATTCTGGTGGAGCCCATGAGTCTTACAGGACAAGGCCTTGTGGTCAGCGAGATGGGAGGGGGTCTGGCCTGGCACAGGATTTTAGACATGCTGGCACCTGCAGAGACAGACACCTCATCCTGGGACAGCAAAACCCAGCCGCATGCTACTGCTTCCCCTCCTGTACCCTCCTCAGACATCCCTGGTCCATGTACACTCCTAGCTGCTGAGCCCCTCTTAAAAAAAAAAAATTAAACATCCCCTCCTAAAAAAAAAACAATTAAAATTAAAAAATAAATTTAAAAGTTAAAAATCCCCTTCTGCTAGGTGTGCTGTTCACGCCTGTAATCTCAGCGACTCAGGAGGCTGAGGTGGGAGGATTGCTTGAATCCAGGAGTTCGAGATCGGGCTGGGCAAGATGGCAAGACCCCAACTCAAAAAAGAAAAAAAAAAAAAATCTTTCCTCCTAAGCCTCATTGCCCCATCTGTAAAGCGAGTCAGGGACTGTGCCTGGGATGCTGCCTGCGAGAGATCCCGATGTCCCCCACTCAGGGTCACTAACTGTGGCTCTCTCTCCCCAGGAGGGCTGTCGGTGGCGGTGCCTGGGGAGATCCGAGGCTATGAGCTGGCACACCAGCGGCATGGGCGGCTGCCCTGGGCTCGCCTCTTCCAGCCCAGCATCCAGCTGGCCCGCCAGGGCTTCCCCGTGGGCAAGGGCTTGGCGGCAGTCCTGGAAAACAAGCGGACCGTCATCGAGCAGCAGCCTGTCTTGTGGTATGTCTGTGGGTGCGGCCCCCTGACACAGGCAGGGCAGGCACAGCCCAAGGACCTTGCAGGCCGTAGCAGCAGTGGAGCGGCCCTCTGCCTTCAGGACCCTGTGCTGATAATGGGATGAGGAGATACAGACCCTTCCCACCACGTGTGGGGACACATTCTGAGCGTGGGGTCCCAGTGGCCACTGTGGCTGGCCATGTGTCCTGAGTGGCAAGGGACACTAGGAGGCTCCCGGAAGGGACACTAGGAGGACAAGCACTGAGTGACAGGGCCACCCACCTGTGACAGGCGCTGCCCCTGCTTTGTGCTGGTCTCCTGTGTGGGCAGGTGTGAGGGGTGGTCTAGCTGAGTCCACCCCACCTGCTGCCTCACATGAGCCCCCTCTGCCCCAGTGAGGTGTTCTGCCGGGATAGAAAGGTGCTTTGGGAGGGGGAGAGACTGACCCTGCCGCGGCTGGCTGACACCTACGAGATGCTGGCCATCGAGGGTGCCCAGGCCTTCTACAACGGCAGCCTCATGGCCCAGATTGTGAAGGACATCCAGGCGGCTGGTGAGTGGGTAACCTCAAGGACCTGGGTGAGGAACTCTGCAGTGGAAACCCTGAGCTGTAGCCCAGAGCCATGGGGTCCTCCTGTCTTGCCTGAGCCTGCAGGAAGTTCCTGGTGGAGGAGGGTCAGTGACTGGCCATGTGGGTCCACAGCTCCTGCTTATATCAAAACCAAGAGAGGCCACACAGTCCAGGAGAGCAAGCCCCTGTTGGGGTAAATGCAGGTGAAGGCAAGAGCCAGGGCTAGGGAAGCACTAGAATACAGCCTGAAGATCCAGGAGGACTTCTTGGAGGAGGTGGCGGCTGGGCTGCAGATAACTTCGTTAGGCAGAGAGAGGAAGGGATTCCTAGCAGAGGAACAGCTGGGCTAAGGCCCAGTAGAGGGCGCTTTGATTCACCAAGAGGGTTACAAGGGATGAGGGTCGCCTTGAGAGAGGCATGGGGAAGGGGATTTGTGGGGCAGGGGCCTGGAGCTTGGCTGTGGCTTTCTTCAGGTAATTTTTGTCACTGTTTCATGGAGGAGGGTGATTAGCGTGTCGACCTTTACCACTGAGGCTGGAAATTGGCATGCCAATACCCTGTCTGGAGCTGACTCCAGGAGAATTAAGAGCCTCCCTCCCTCCCTCTATCCATTCATCGTGAGGAGAAGAGGCCAAGCAGCAGGGACACCGGCAGGAATTCTCCAGTTAGAAAAGGCCCTCTGAGCCAGGTGCGGTGGCTCACGTCTGTAATCCCAGCACTTTGGGAGGCCGAGGCGTGTGGATCACGGGGTCAGGAGATCGAGACCATCCTGGCTAACACAGTGAAACCTGTCTCTACTAAAAATACAGAAAAATTAGCCACGTGTGGTGGCGGGTGCCTGCAGTCCCAGCTACTTGGGAGGCTGAGGCAGGAGAATGGCGTGAACCTGGGAGGCGGAGCTTGCAGTGAGCCGATATCGCGCCACTGCACTCCAGCCTGGGCGATAGAGCGAGACTCCGTCTCACAAAAAAAAAAAAAAAGAAAGAAAGAAATATAGCAAAACACAACAAAAAAATTAAAATTTGCTGGGTGTAGTTGTGCCTTTAGTCTCAGCTACTGGGGAGGGTCTGCTGGAGGATCACTTGAGCCCAGGGGTTCAAGGCTGTGATTAAGCCACTGCACTCCAGCCTGGGTAACAGAGCAAGATCGTATCTCTAAAAAAAAAAAGAAAAAAGAAAACACTCTCTGGCCACAGATGAGAGAAGGCAGACAGGAAGCCAGTAAGCCAAGCAGGCAGAGGGCAGGTGGCCCCAGCCCAGCTGTCGGGTGGTGAGCAGTGTCAGGGAGACAGGAGTGCCGGAGCTGGTGAGGTTCCCAAGGAGGTGAGGTTGCCTGTGGCCCCCTCCCAGGGCACAGTCCCACCCCTCCAGTAGTGCACTCTGTCCTCCCTGGTAGGTACAGGCTTTTCCCCACCACCATGGTGCAGCCATGCCTGCCCCCAACACCACTGGTGCAGCTCCATCCTCCACGCAGTGGTGCAGCCCCATCCCAGCGCCCATTCGAGCTGCTGTCCCATTGCAGGGGGCATTGTGACAGCTGAGGACCTGAACAACTACTGTGCTGAGCTGATCGAGCACCCGCTGAACATCAGCCTGGGAGACGCGGTGCTGTACATGCCCAGTGCGCGGCTCAGCGGGCCCGTGCTGGCCCTCATCCTCAACATCCTCAAAGGTGAGTGGTCGCACCACAGCTGTGTGGTAGGACCCATGACACTGCCTCTCTCTCCCCACGCCCCACCCCTCCTGCATCTCTGCTCGCCCCCCATGCCACGTCTTTCCATCACTGAGCTCCTGAGGTGTGTCCCTGCGTCACAGCTCACCATGTCCTGAAGGAGGCAGTGCAGAGCAACAGGGCTGAAGCGGGCAATGCTCAAGGGTTGGAGGAGGAACAGGAGTCATCAGGAGGGAGAGAGGTGCAGGAGCTCAGGGCTGCAGGGCCGGTCCAGAGGGTACCCCGGTCCAGTGGGTGACCCTGCCACTTGGTCATTGAATGGCCAGAGCTGATGCGTGACGTGAGGTCCAGGCTCGGGAGCCCTCACCTTACTTCACTCTCACCACAGCCTTCTGAAGCAGCTGCTGCTATTGGTTATTAAACGCTCCTTGAGGTGGGCAAAGTGGCTCAGGCAGGTGTTAACCCTCTGAGCCCCTCAGAGCCTCTGGGGCTCAGCAACATGCACCTGGCTCTGATCAACCAGGGTACAACTTCTCCCGGGAGAGCGTGGAGACCCCCGAGCAGAAGGGCCTGACGTACTACCGCATCGTAGAGGCTTTCCGGTTTGCCTACGCCAAGAGGACCCTGCTTGGGGACCCCAAGTTTGTGGATGTGACTGAGGTAAGGGGCAGGGGCTGGCCCACTGTGGGTGTGGGGCCTGCCGTAGAGGCATCAGGTGGGCTCCCCAGGGTGGCTACAACCTCACATATGCTTTATGAATCCATTCCTGCCACAGAATTCGATTGCGGGCCTACTGTGTGCTCGGATGGACTCGTGGGTGACCCCCAGTCTTGGCTTCTGCCCCACAGAACTGACAGTGTGGGGAATTAGTGGCCACCCTCCTACCTCAGGTCCTTTGCACATGCTGTGGTTCTTGAGTGCTCAGTGCTGAGATGAGGAATGCATGGGGGCATTGCAGCCCTCAGGCATGGTGAGATGGATGGGTGAAAGGGAGAGGGCCAGGTGAACAGAGACCTCGGCCACCCACTCCCTGTCACTCCAAACTAACGCTTCCCAGATGCCACCCTCAGCCCTGCACCACCTGACCCACTCACCCAGTAGTTGCCCCAGCTCCATGCTGGGTCCCTATAAGACCCTGTCATATCCCTTCCCGCTGAGGATCCTCACATCCCTCCTTACCTACTTGGGTCCTTGGCATTCCTGGGCGGATCTGCAGACCCCCCCACACTGACCAGTGACCTCCCAGGAGGGGCGTCAGCTGCCCGGGTGGTGTCTTCTCTTTCCCTGTGAGCATTCTGCACCTCTGACTCCCGCTGCAGCCAGTGACCTGGTGTCTTGTCTCTCTGAGGGGACAGAGCCACTGCAGCGTGTCCCTCTGCCCTCCTTTTTGGCTAAGGCCAGCTCCTTCATCTACTCGCTGGCTCGGGGTGCTGTTCCTACAATGCTCCTGTCTGCCTCTGATGATTTATTTCTTTATCACGGATTATTCCCAAAAAAAAGGCAGCTGTTGTTGCTCTAGAAACTTCTATCTGCTGCCTCCTTCTGTCCTTTGCTCCTCTTAGAGCAAACATGGCTGGGCTATGTCCTCTCTCCCTTCAGGGTATCCCCTCCCCTGCTCTATCCCCATGCCACCAGATCGCCATGTCCAGCCTCAGTTTCCCCATCAGGCCCCACTCAGCAGCATCTCACACAGCTCACCACACTCTCCTCGAGTTTTCATTTTGCAAATTTTCGCACCTGCAAAAATGTAAAAAAAACCCAAAACTGCCCAAGCATCAATGTTCCCTTTTCCTGGATTCTGCAGTGTGGACATTTCTGCCGGATTTCCTAACTCTCTCCGTCTCCACCCACATCTATTGGGATTCGTGTTTTTCTGAGGGATTCCACAGTAGGTTACTGATGTCGCACCTCAGGATGTGTCTCAAAAGTGAGACTTGAACATAGCACAGCAGGATGTCGGGGTGACACAACCTGCTGTCCCTTCTCTTTACCTACAGTAGGCTCCCTTGGCTGTTTTGTTTTTGTTGTGTTTTTGTTTGTACACAGAGTCTCTGTCATCCAGGTTGGAGTACAGTGGTGTGATCTTGGCTCACTGCAGCCTCAACCTCCAGGGCTCAAGCAATCCTCCCACTTCAGCCCCCTGAGCAGCTGGGACCAGAGGCACGTGCCACCAAACCTGGATAATTTTTGTATTTTTTTTAGAGACAGGGTCTTGCCCAGACTGGTCTCAAACTCCTGGGATCAAACTGTCTTCCCACCTCAGCCTCCCAAAGCGCTGGGATTACAGGTGTGTTTTTTCTTTGAGACGGAGTCTCGCTCTGTTGCCCAGGCTGGAGTGCAGTGGCGCTATCTCGGCTCACTGCAAGCTCCGCCTCCTGGGTTCACGCCATTCTCCTGCCTCAGCCTCCCGAGTAGCTGGGACTACAGGCGCCCGACACTGCGCCCAGCTAATTTTTTGTATTTTTAGTAGAGACGGGGTTTCACCGTGATCGCGATCTCCTGACCTCGTGATCCGCCTGCCTCGGCCTCCCAAAGTGCTGGGATTACAGGCATGAGCCACCGTGCCTGGCCTGTTTTGTTGATTTTTAAAGCCCAGGGCAGTAGTCTTGGAAAATGTCCCACATCGTGGATTTGCCTTTCTGTTTCCTTGAGGGCAGATTCAGACAGAACACCTTTCCCTGGGATTGGTCAACTAATCCGTGGGGTGTTGCTGAAACTTTATTTTATTTTATTTTATTTTTGAGACGGAGTCTCGCTCTGTCCCCCAGGCTGTCCCCCAGGCTGGAGTGCAGTGGCGGGATCTCGGCTCACTGCAAGCTCCGCCTCCCAGGTTCACGCCATTCTCCTGCCTCAGCCCCCCAAGTAGCTGGGACTACAGGTGCCCACCACCGCGCCCAGCTAATTTTTTGTATTTTTAGTAGAGACGGGGTTTCACTGTGTTAGCCAGGATGGTCTCGATCTCCTGACGTCATGATCCGCCCTCCCAAAGTGCTGGGATTACAGGCCTCGGCCTCCCAAAGTGCTGGGATTACAGGCGTGAGCCACCGCGCCCGGTGTTGAAACTCTCTTGAGGCATTTTCTTCGGCCTTCGGGTCCATCCTCTCTGTCTCCTCTTTGACCTCCTCATCTCCTCCTCGCCACTGCCTTGGGGACCTTGGCCAGGCTCATGGCATCCAGCAGCCACTCAATGTCAATACCTCCATGTTCATCTCTCAGCCCGCCCTTGCCCGTGAACCCATGCTTATTTATTTATTTTTTTTATACGTGCACCCATGCTCTTTGGGTCTGATGAAGTATCCAAAATCAAGCTCCTGACCATCCCCAAACCGGCCCCTTCTGCCGGCCTCGCTAGTCGGCACCATGCTTGATTCTTCTCTTTCTCCCACCCAGGCCATCATCTCTTGCCTGGTTGATACCCACAGCCTCCCCTTTGGGCTTTATCCTTATCCCCGTCATAGCTGCCAGAGGGACCCTGTGAAAACACTCCCCAGCCTCCTCATTCCTCTGCCCTAAGCCTGCATGGCACAGAGCAAAAGCCAGTTGTTATGGGACCTAGGAGGTCCTGTGGGATGGGCCCCAGCCTGCATCTTCATCCTCTTCTCCCCACCCTACTCCATTCACTCTCTGCCTATCGCTCACCAGCCTATGCCACCTGCCTCAGGGCCTTTGCACTGACCATTTAGGCCACATTCCAGGCTCTTTTCACACGTTGCCTCCTCTGAGAAGCCCTCCCTGACCACTCTGCCCATACCTCATGCCTCTTGATTCCCCTTACCTGGCCTGTGGTTTCAGCACTTTCCCTGTGTGTGTTTGTTTTTCTTGGCATGAGGGCAGGACCTAAGTGTCTGTTCCCTGTTGATTCCCCAGTGCCAGGCATGCAGTGCAAATTCTAGAAATATTTTTTGCATGAAAGAATGAGTGATTGAATGCGGCAAGGGTCTGGAGGCTGAGGACCAGGCAGACAGACATTCAGAGTTGCTGGAACGCGACAGAGACAGGGAGTCAGACTGGTCATGCAAGGTCTTGGGCCTGCCCTTGGGTCCTGGGGAGCCACGGAAGGTTGTGGGTGCCAGAGGGTTGCGGTCAGAGTCACAGTCAAGGGCCTTCTGAGACCTGTGCCCCCTCCCCACCTCCTCAGGCCAGCTCTGGGGTCTCAGCAGGTGGTCCGCAACATGACCTCTGAGTTCTTCACTGCCCAGCTCCGGTCCCAGATCTCTGACCACACCACTCACCCGATCTCCTACTACAAGCCCGAGTTCTACACGCCGGATGACGGGGGCACTGCTCACCTGTCTGTCGTCGCAGAGGACGGCAGTGCTGTGTCCGCCACCAGCACCATCAACCTCTAGTAGGGGCTGCTGGGCCGCCTGGGTGGGAAAGGGCCAGGGGCGGGTGGCCCAGGGACTGCCCACTTATCCAGTAAGGTGGCTCCATCACCTCTTTTCCTGGTGGGAAACTGAGGCCCAACCTTGGTAGCTTATCCTGGGCCTCTCAGTGAGTATGTTTGAGCCTCAGTGGGTGGATAGGGACCAGGCTGGGCCAGGCAAGGTCGGGTGCTGTCTGACCTGGCTGGGCGGTAGCTTTGGCTCCAAGGTCTGCTCCCCGGTCAGTGGGATCCTGTTCAATAATGAATGGACGACTTCAGCTCTCCCAGCATTCACCAATGAGTTTGGGGCACCCCCCTCACCTGCCAATTTCATCCAGCCAGGTATGGGGTGGAGGTCCGGGGGGTGGGGGACTGGGGTGGAGAGGGGCGGGTGTCCTGGGCAGGCAGCTGACGGGCATCCCTGTCTTCTCCCATCGGCCGCAGGGAAGCAGCCGCTCTTGTCCATGTGCCCGACGATCATGGTGGGCCAGGACGGCCAGGTCCGGATGGTGGTGGGAGCTGCTGGGGGCACGCAGATCACCACAGACACTGCACTGGTATGTGTCACCCCTTTTCTCCCTGGCCCTGCCCACTCTGCACAGCCCCCAAGCCACGCTGATCACACTCCCATGCCCCAGGCCATCATCTACAACCTCTGGTTCGGCTATGACGTGAAGAGGGCCGTGGAGGAGCCCCGGCTGCACAACAAGCTTCTGCCCAACGTCACGACAGTGGAGAGAAACATTGACCAGGTGGGCCAGGGGTTGGAGAAACTGAGTCACGGTGTGGGGTCCCAGGGCATCCTGGGCTGGAGGCCTGGATCATCACAGAGTGGACAATGGTTGGTGTCCTCTCTCTAGTGCCTGGGCCATCTGGAGCCCCTGTGACATGAGAGCCAAGCCCCCTGCTCCAGTGAGACCCAGCAGGCCCCAACCTGCTCTTCCTGATGACCTGGCCTGAAATGGCACCACCTGGGCTGAGGCCTGTGACCACACAGGTGTGGTTCAGGTGGCATCTGGAGCCCTGCTCAGGCTTCCCCTCTCCTCCCACCCCCAGGCAGTGACTGCAGCCCTGGAGACCCGGCACCATCACACCCAGATCGCGTCCACCTTCATCGCTGTGGTGCAAGCCATCGTCCGCACGGCTGGTGGCTGGGCAGCTGCCTCGGACTCCAGGAAAGGCGGGGAACCTGCTGGCTACTGAGTGCTCCAGGCAGACAAGGCTGACAAGCAATCCAGGGACAAGATACTCACCAGGATGAGGAAGAGGACTTTGGGGGACGGGCTTCCCCTGTGAGCAGCAGAGCAGCATAATAAATGAGGCCACTGTGCCAGGCTCCAGGTGGCCTCCCTGGCCTGTCTCCCCACTCTCTGGGCCTCAGTGTATTGTGTGTGAAATGGAGCCATCTGGCTGGGGAGGAACAGAGAGGTGGGATTCGGAGATCTTCACAATGCGGACACTGGAACTAGCCTCAGCATCTTCAGCATGGGGAGAGCAAGGCACATGGCTGGGGGCCAGGGGAAGGTTCACACCAAACCCTGCCCCTTCCCACCCTGATCCCTCAGACTTTGGGGCCAGGCCCTCCCTTACTGGGGCTGGGCAGTGACACTACCTAGGATCAGCCACCAGGGGGTGTCACGACCCTGGCGCTTTCTTAGGCAGAGGGTGGCCAGCCGATGCTGGGAACCCGGGCGCCTTCTCAGACCCGTAGGCGTCCAGCTCACCCTGCCGATGACACTGGAGGTGAAGCTGAGGGTCCGAGGAATGGGGACTGGGCAACAGGCTGGAGGAAAACATCTCGGTCAGAGCCATGCCCCTGGGGGGTTCCCAAGAGCAAGCCCAGAGTGAAACCCAAGCTTGTGATCCTCTCCAGAGGGAGGCCTGGTTCTCAGGGAACAGCAAACGGGAAGATGTCCCCAGATCCCAGGGATCAGGGCTTGGACCAGCCGGGGACGCAGCCCAGAGGGAGTGGGTCCGGAAGGAAACAGCTCGACACAGCAGCCTTCACCATTGGCAGCCCCTCCAGGCCTCCCTCGGGGCCTGCTCCCTCCTCTGTGCACAGTTCCAACACCTGGAGCAGGGTTCTGGGAAGGGCTGGTGGAGGTGGGCTGGTGGGAGGCGGTGATCACAGCCCAGCACCTGGATATCACCAGGGGCACTGGGGCCAGGGGCCAGGTGAGGCCAGGTCGGGGCTATCCTTCAGGAGCCCCGAAAACCTGGTGATTCCAAAGGGCCCATAGACAAACAGGGTTTTATGCCTGTGGAGTCAAGTCCCACTGGGTCTGAGCTCTGGAGGGCTGTGTCTCTGGGGCTCTGCAAGGGTGAGATGGAGGTGGGCTCAACTGGTGTACAAGTCACTCTTCAATCCTTATTTTATTTATTTAATTTTTTTAAAAAAATTTAAACCAATAGAGATGGGGTCTCACTATGTTGACCAGGCTGGTCTTAACTCCTGACTTCAAGCAGTCCCCCCATCTCAGTCTCCCAAAGTGCTAGGATTACAGGGGTAGCCACTGCACCCGGCCTCAATCCTTATATTGGCCTGAGAGGAAAGGCCGTGGCCCCATTTGCAGGGGAGAAGACTGAAGCTGGAGGGGCAGGCCTTGCTCTGGGTTGCACAGCAGGAAGAGAAGTGGGAGCTGGCCACGAGGCTTCCTGGACCCGACACGCTGGTGGGGTACACCCTGGTTCTCTAGGTCCCATGGGGCTCAGCCCAGGACTACCTCGGGGGGTGAGGGACTTAAATCGTCTCCTTCATTCTCATCACCCCTTCCCCCATCATTTCCTGAGGAAGGACATTCAGGGACCTGAAGGGGTGGCCTGCCCCTCCACACCTGTGGGTGTTTCCCATCAGCTGGGACAAGAGACTGAGAAAAGAAAGAGACACAGAGACAAAGTATAGAGAAAGAAAAGTGGGCCCAGGGGACCTGCGCTCAGCATACGGAGGCCCCACGCTGGCACCAGTCTCTGAGTTCCCTAGTATTTATTGATCATTATCTCTACCATCTCAGAGAGGGGGATGTGGCAGGACAATAGGGTAATAGTGGGGAGAGGGTCAGCAGGAAAACACGTGAACAAATGTCTCTGTGTCATAAACAAGGTTAAGAAAAAGGTGCTATGCTTTGATGTGCATATACATAAACATCTCAATGCATTAAAGAGCAGTATTGCCACCAGCATGTCCCATCTCCAGCCCTAAGGCAGTTTTCTCCTATCTCAGCAGATGGAATATACAATCAACACTGAGACATTCCTTTGCCCAGGGACGATCAGGAGAGAGATGCCTTCCTCTTATCTCAACTGCAAAGAGGCCTTCCTCTTTTACTAATCCTCCTCAGCACAGACCCTTTACAGGTGTCGGGCTGGGGGACGGTCAGGTCTTTCCCTTCCCACGAGGCCATATTTCAGACTGTCACCTGGGGAGAAACCTTGGACGATACCTGGCTTTCCTAGGCAGAGGTCCCTGCGGCCTTCTGCAGTGTTTTGTGTCCCTGCTTACTTGAGATTAGGGAGTGGTGATGACTCTTAACAAGCATGCTGCCTTCAAGCATTTGTTTAACAAAGCACATCCTGCACAGCCCTGAATCCATTAAACCTTGAGTCGACACAGTACATGTTTCTGTGAGCACAGGGTTGGGGCTAGGGTTACAGATTAACGGCATCTCAAGGCAAAAGAATTTTTCTTACTACACAACAAAATGGAGCCTCTTACGTCTACTTCTTTCTACATAGACACAGTAACAGTCTGATATCTCTTTCTTTTCCCCACAGGGACCTTCCTGGCTGTGCCTCGGGTCAGGACCAGAATGACACCCATTCATTTCCCTGGGCCTTTGCTCCGGTGGTCCCTGCACCCTGGCCTCTGCCTGACGAGGATGGTGGGGAGAGGAGGGGGGACGTCCCCCACACTGCTGTCTCCACTGTTCCTGCTGCCCAGGCCTCTGGGCTTCCAGGACTGCAGCGGGTGGGTGGGTGGGCTGGCCTGAGCCCAGGAATGCACTTCAGTTCCTGGTTGAGCAATGTCACTGAGGCTTGGGAGTCGGGTGGGGGCGGGAGGAGGCGTCCGCAGGCCCCCCTACCGTGAGAGGCAGCCGTGGGAACAGCCTACCTCTAAACAATCACTGCAGCCCAGGCTGACCAGGGGCTCTGGCCGGACATAGGGGCCTGGCAGGCTGTGTGCCCTGTAAGGACACAGTCTGTCTCTGTGCCTCAGTTTCTCTGCTGCCCAGATGGAGGGGCCCAGACTCCAGGTGTACACATCTGGAGCAGGCAGTGTTCAGTTGGGGAGGAAGCGGGGAGGACTGTGGGGGCCATGTGGGAAGGATTCCACCCCACATCACCTGCACCCCTGCTGAGCCTGGTCAACGGAGCCCCTCAGTGGGTCCTCACTCCCCTGGTTGCCTCCCATTTAGGCACCCTGAGGCCTGGGGAGAACAGAGCCAGGCCAGTGTCCCCAGAGAGGCTGCGCTGCCAGCACAGTAGTAGCGGATTTGGATTCAGAGAAGCAGACCTGCAGCCAGGGTGGGAAAGAGCTGCAGGTGGGGTGGGGCCCCCACATGGCACAGCCCCCCTCCCTGGAGGTCCATGCTGCATTTCCAGGACAGCAAGTCCCAGGGATGGATGGTGCCTGGTGCCAAGGGCTAGAGGCATGGTCTGTCTGCATTTCCCATGTAAGTGTCTCATAGTCACCAGCATTTGATGCTGTCAAGACCCCCTGTCCTCTGTGCAGACTGGGAAGCCCTTGGTCACCCTGGGGGGGTTGGGGGACCCAGGCCAGGCTGCAGAAACATAAGGACTTGAACCCGGGTCCTGAGTGACACCACCTTGGGTCCTCCTCCTTCTGCCTCTGTTCAGCTCCACCTTGATGCTGACTAGGCTGGGCCATGCGGAGAGGGTTAGGGGATAGAGATGGGAGCTGGGGAGCAGGGCTCCACTCTGGGAGGGGGGCAGCCTTGCCGGATCCAGGGCAGAGTTAAGCGGCCCCAGCTCTGCTTTCCCAGAGCTGCTGAGAACCTGGGGAATGGTGTGGAGGTTCCAGGGAGCCCTGCCCCTACCTGGCAACCGCAGTGCAGCACGCACCAAGTTCTCCTGCACATTGCGACAGTGTGACCATGGGCTCTGGCGGGCAGTAGGTGGGGCCTTTGGACCTACCAGCAGTGAGGGAGTTAACACAGCAGCTGACTTCTCTAGGCAAAGAAAACTCCCCTCAGACGCTTTGCTGCCTGGCCTCCTGCCAGGAACAAGCAGGAGCTGAAAACTAGAAGTTGAGGCATGAGTTTCGCCACTCCGTAGTGTGCACTTGGTGAGGGCAGCAGCTCGCCACAGCTGCCAGCCATCTGTCCATTCACCCATCTGTCCATCTGGCAGCCCGCTGTTCAGACCCGTCTGTCTGTCCGCCCATCTGTAAGCCCATCTCTGTCCCATTGTCTATCTGACCATCTTTCTCTTACTGTCCTCTTTGTCTAGCTATCTGGCCTGTCTGTCGATCCATCTTCGTGTCTGTCTTCAGCCCCCACCTGTTTGTCCATCTGTCCAATTACCTGTGAGTCTATCTATGCATCTTCTTGTCCATTCATCTGCCCACCCATCTGTCCCTCCGTCTGCCCACCGGCCTCCCCTCTCCTTCTGGGCCGCAGAGCCATGGCCCAGGACTACGGAGCCATGGGTGACCTGGTCCTGCTGGGGCTGGGGCTGGGGCTGGCGCTGGCTGTCATTGTGCTGGCTGTGGTCCTCTCTCGACACCAGGCCCCATTTGACCCCCGGCCTTTGCCCACGCCGCTGTTGCTGCTGACTCCAAGGTCTTCTCAAATATTGTACGGTGAGTGAGACGTGGGAGGAAGCTGGGTGGCCTTTGGCAGCCAGCCCCTCCTGGAGAAGGCGTGTGTGTGTGAGCATGTGTGTGTGTGAGAGATTATGTGTGAGTGTGTGTGGGTATATGTGTGAGTGTGTTTGTGGGGTGTGGGTGTGTGTGAATGTGTGTGATCGTGTTTGGGTGTGTGTATGTGTGAGTGTGGGTGTGTGTGAATGTGTGTGATTGTGTTTGTGTATGTGTGTGTGGGTGTGTGTGAGTATATGTGAGTGTGAGTGTGTGGGGGTGTGGGTGGGTGTGAATGTGTGTGATTGTGTTTCGCTGTGTGAGGGTGTGTGTGACTGTGAGTGTGTGAGTGTGGGTGTGTGGGTGTGTGTAAATGTGTGAGTGTGAGTATGGGGGGGTGGGTATGTGTGAATGTGTGTGATTGTGTGTGGGTATATTTGTGGGGGTGTGTGTGTGTGTGCACGTGTGTGTGTGTGCACGTGCACTGGCCCAGGAAGCAGGAGCCGTGTGTGTGGGCTTCAGCACCTGCAGGGCTTGAGCGCAAGGAGACAGCCTCAGGGCCCTTGCACAGAACAGGCGGCAGGGTGTGCCCGTGGGGCAGATGGGGACTTGGGGACAATGGTGGTGTGTGAGTCCATACCTGGCTCCAGGATTCAGGAGGCCCATTTGCATATCCCAGGTGGGAACCTGTCTGGCCCCGCCTGACCCTGCTGGCCGGCGCAGGCCCCTTCAGTGAGGCCAATTCTCCAAGGCTGCGGTCTTCTCCCAGGGTCATGGGTGAAGGGGTTTGGAGGCTCCCTGCGTGGGTACTGGCCTGCTGGGGTACACACAATGCTGCCATAGCCAGTCTGCCCCTACACCCAGCCCGGGGCCACATCTCAGGTCTCTCAGTCCTGAGGAGCCCGGTGCCCCACCCCTCACATCCTCTCTCCCTGAGTCAGGGCCTGGGTCTCGTGAGCTGAGTGACTGATACTTGGTGTCCTGGATGAGGGCGTGGTGGAGAGGGGCCACAGCGGGTGTTTCCTGACCCTCTTCCAGGAAGGTGCTGCTGCCGCTGCAGGGAGGACACACACAGGATGCCCCTTCTTGCCCCCTGCCTCCCATTGGGCCCACAAAAGCCAGGGCAAGCCTCCCCTCCCTGCCAGCCACCTGGTCTGCTTCCCAGAAATTCTGTCTTGCAGGCTGTTGGGAGGATCCCAGTACTTTGTAAACTAAAGCAAGGGAGGAGTGGCCGTTCTCTCTCTTTGTTCATTCATTCACCTTTTCATTCATTCCTTCTTCCCTCCATTCCCCCATCTGTGCATCCTTCCCTGCCCTGATTGCTCATGCCACCCCCCCAGCCCCTCCTGACCTGGTCCTTTGGTTTCTCTTCAGGGCTTTCTGTCTCCTCCCACAGGGCTGAGAATGGCAGCTCAGGGACAAGTGGGGGCTGGGGACTGCTTAGTCTCCCCAGTGGCTCTCAGGGGATTTGAGGGTTTGACGCCAGCTGCCACCCCAGGCTGTGCCCCTCCTCTGCTCGGGAGGACATACAGAGATGCGACACCCACTTAAACTCGAAGTTGCAAAGATGCAAATGAGACTGGGGTCTCAGGCACCAGAGACCACCCGTGGGCACGTGGCTTTTGGGAGTGGGGACCTGCTGCCACAGATCTCTGAAGAGTCTGGACCTGCTGGGTCTCCCCGAGTGACTGTCTGGGGGTCTCCATAGCATGCCCTGCTGTGTGCGTGACGGTCACTGGTTGGGTAGGGGTCTCTACTCTAAAGCTCCCTCTGCCGGCATCCCCTCGAACTCTCCCTTGGTGAAGAGAGGATGTGGTTTGCCCCAGTGTTTCATCAAACAACTCTCTCCACTTCCAGTTTTAAGAAGCTGGGAGTGGAAGAGAGCCTGGGGCTGGCCCCAGCTGCTGCTGTGAAACAGGGGTCACTGGACGCTGGGACCCTGGCCGGGCTGGCTGGAGGCCTCAGGAAGAGGCCTGCTACAGCGTCATCCTGGCCAAGATTCCTCCCTGCAGAGGACCCTGGCCACGCTGCCACAGGGTCTGCTGGGGCCACCAGAAGCCCATGCTCCTGCCTCCATCTCTCCCCTCTGTGCTCACCTCTCACCAGGAGGCCCTCCCAGAGTTCAGTGTCCTGCTTTTTTTTTTTTTTTTGTGACGGTGTCTCACTCTGTCACCAGGCTGGAGTGCAGTGGCGCGATCTCAGCTTACTGCAACCTCTGCTTCCTCGGTTCAAATGATTCTCCTGCCTCAGCCTCCTGAGTAGCTGGGACTACAGGTGCCAGCCACCACGCCCCGCTAATTTCTGTATTTTTAGTAGAGACAGGGTTTCACCGTGTTGGCCAGGATGGTCTCTATCTCTTGATTCACCCGCCTTGGCCACCCAAAGTGCTGGCATTACAGGAGTGAGTCATGGCACCCGGCCTCATCTCCTACTCTTTCAGCACCAGGTTTTATTCTTGGGATTCTGCTACAGCCGGAGCCCCTGGGTGCGAGTTCCTAAGGTTTCTGTGAGTGTGGACCCAGCACCGTGCCTAGTAGACATACAAAAGGAGCATGGTGACAGTGAGGTCTGTCATCTCCAGCATAATGACTGTTTTGATCCTTGTAAAAAAGGTGATTTTTGGCTGGGTGTGGTGGCTCACACCTGTAATCCCAGCACTTTGGGAGGCCGAGGGGGGTGGCTCACTTGAGGTCAGGAGTTGGAGACCAGCCTGGGCAACATGGTGAAACCATGTCTCTACTAAAAATACAAAAATTAGCTGGGCATGGTAGCAGGTGCCTGTAATCCCAGATACTTGGGAGGCTGAGACAGGAGAATCACTTGAACGCAGGAGGCAAAGGTTGCAGTAAGCCAAGATTGCACCACTGCACTCCAGCCTGGGTGACAGAGCAAGACTTGGTCTCAAAAAAAAAAAAAAAGAAAGAAAGAAAAGTTTATATTTTTGTTCTAATGGTTATCTTAATATCGTCATTCTATAATTATATGTTTTATATAATTATAATAGCTATATAAGATATAATACCCCTAGTATGTTGTTTTTTGGATATTCTACTTGCTCCTGATGGTTAATTTATGTGTCAACTTGGCTAAGCTATGGTGTCCTGTTGTTTGGTCAAATACTTGTCAATATCTTGCTGGGAGGTTATTTCATAGATGTGATTAACACTGACAGTCAATTGACTTTAAGTAAAACAGATTACCCACCATAATATGGGTGGGCCACCTCCAATCAGTTGAAGGCCTTAAGAACAAAAACTGAGGTTTCCCAGAGAAGCAGGAATTCTGCTTCAAGACTGTAACACACAAACCCTGCCTGAGTTTCTGGCCTGCTGACTGCTCTACAGATTTTAGGTTCCAGACTTCGAGATCAACTCTTACCTGAATTTATAGCCTGCTGGCTTGCCCTACAGATTTTAAAACTTGCTAGTCCCCACAATCATGTGAGCCAATTCCTAAATAAATCTCTCTCTATGTATAATCTATTGGTTTAGTTTCTCTGAAAAACTTTCACATCCAGTTTCCTGGTTGTTAAGAATTACCGAAACTAGCTAGTAACTTCTTTTTTTTTTTTTTTTTTTTGAGACAGAGTTTTGCTCTTGTTGCCCAGGCTGGAATGCAATGGCACAATCTCAGCTCACCGCAACCTCCACTTCCTGGGTCCAAGCAATTCTCCTCCCTCAGCCTCCTGAGTAGCTGGGATTACAGGCATGTGCCACCATGCTTGGCTAATTTTTGTATTTTTAGTAGAGACAGGGCTTCTCCATGTTGGTCAGGCTGGTCTTGAACTCCCAACCTCAGGTGATCCGCCGCCTTGGCCTCACAAAGTGCTGGAATTACAGGCACGAGCCATTGCGCCTGGCTCCTAGTAAATTCTTCTTTTCTGTGATGTGTCTCTTACCTCTAATAATACTTTTCTTCTTAAAGTCTACTTCATTAAAAATAGTTATGCTGGGCATGGTGGCTCATGGCTGTAATCTTGGCACTTTGCTGGAGGTCGAGGTGGGTGGATCACTGAAGCCCAGGAGTTCAAGACCAACCTGGGCAACATGGCGAGACCCTGCCTCTACAAAAAATACAAAAATTAGCTGGGTGTGGCTAATATAATTCTAAGTTGGCACACTTGTAGTCCCAGCTACTTGGGATGCTGAGGTGGGAGAATCGCTTGAGCCTAGAAGGGAGAGATTGCTGTAAGCCAAGATCACATTACTGCACTCCAGCCTGGGAGACAGAGTGAGGCTCTATCTCCAAAAAAAAAAAAAAAAAAAAAAAAAAGTTATACAGCTTTCTTGGTTAGTACATGCATGACATATTTTTCATGATCTTCCACCTCTCTGTATCCTTATATAAAAGGCATTAGTTGGGTTTTACTTTATTTTCAATTATTTTAATTTTTATTGTCCTTTTAAATGTAACTAATGATTTATTTGGGTTGAAACCCACCACCAATTTGTTTTCCATGCCTATTCTATTTCTTCTTATCTCCTCTCACATCTTGTTTTGGATTTATTATTTTTATTATTTAATTTCCTCCTTCTCTATTAGTTTCATAACTGTGCAGTCTTAGAGTTCTTTTAAAAGATGACTGGATTATTTTAGAGCTTACAACACGCATCCTTCACTTATCAAAGTCTAACATGAGCTAGTACTTTTTGTTGTGGTTGAGATAGAGAGAGTCTTCCTCTGCTGCCCAGGCTGGAGTGCAGTGGAGCAATCTTGGTTCACTGCAACCTCCACTTCTTGGGTTCAAGCAATTCTCCTGCCTCAGTCACCTGAGTAGCTGGGACCACAGGTGTGCACCACTATGCCCGGCCAATTTTTGTATTCTTTTTCAGTAGAGACAGGGTTTCACCATGTTGGCCAGGCTGGTCTTGAACTCCTGACCTTAAGAGATCTGCCTACCTCGGCATCCTAAAGTGTTGGGATTACAGGCGTGAGCCACCGCACCCAGCCTATGAGTTAGTACTTCTATCCTCTTCCTAGTCAGTACAAGAACCTTGGAACAGGAACTAAATTTACCCCCAGTGACTTATATGCTAATATTTTTGTGTATTTTAAATATGTGTGTGTGCATAGATGTATCTGTGTGTTTTTTGTGTTTTTATTCTTATTTATGTTGAGAGTGTAGAGCTATGTAAGAGTAAAGAGAATTGTGTAATGAAGCCCCGAGTATCCATTCAATTTCAACAACAATCTTATGGCCAAGCTCATTTCATGTATACTCTTTCCTGCTTCCCTCTACCCCACATTATTTCAGTGCAAATCCCAGATATATAACTGTACCCATACATATTTCAGTATGTTTTATTTCTTTTAAACCCCACAAGATATCATTTTCTATACTACTGTAATTTTATACCAATAACATTCATTTAGATTTACCCACATGTTTACCCTACCCTCCGGGTCCTGTTTGAAAATCAAGCCCATGCTCACAGGCCAATTTTTTTTTCTTTTAGAGACAGGGTCTCACTTTGTCACCCAAGCTGGAGTGCAGTGGTGCGATTATAGCTCAATGCAGCCTCCAATTCCTGGACTCAAGGGACCCTCCTGCCTCAGCCTGCCAAGTAGCTTGGACTATAGCTGTGTGTTTTCTTATTATTTTGTAGACATGGGGTCTGGCTATGTTGTCCAGGCTATTCTCAAAATTCCCGGCCTCGAGCAATCCTCCTGCCTCGGCCTCTCAAAGGTTGGGATTACAGGTGTGAGGCAAGGCACCCAGCTCAGCCACAGAGCCCTGTTGCTTCTCTCTTACTAGGAGCAAGAGCTGACTGCCCCCTCATCCCCATTCCAGAGTGTTGGGGCTGTGTTGAGCCGAGGCCGGGCCACTGGCATGGCCCAGGGAACGGGATCATTCACTGCTGCCCCAAATCTGAGATCATTCCACCTTGACAAGACTTCCTCATCCAATCCCTTTACTTGACAGCTGGGGAAACCAACGCGCACAGAGCACCCCAGCTCACTCGGGGTCTCAGAGCTGATCCATGAGCAGAGGCTGAGATCCTGGGATCTTGTCCCCCAGCCGCCCTGCAAGCTTACTCCCTTTCTGCTGGAAGAGATGGGGCCGGACCTCGACCAGCAGCCCTGGCCTGGACATGACTGTGCTCACCCAGGTATTGAGGCCGAGATGCCCCGGCATCATATGTTTTTCTCTTTTTTTTTCTTTTTTTTTGAGACAGTATCTCACTCTGTCACCCAAGCTGGAGTGCAGTGGCATGATATTGGCTCACTGCAACCTCTGCCTCCCGGTTAAAGTGATTCTCCTGCCTCAGTCTTCCAAGTAGCTGGGCCTACAGGCTTGTACCACCACGCCTGACTAATTTTTGTATTTTTACTAGAGACAGGGTTTCCCCATGTTGGCCAGGCTCGTGTCGAACTCCTGACCTCAGGTGATCCACCTGCCTTGGCCTCCCAAAGTGCTAGGATTACAGGCATGAGCCATGGCGTCACTTAAACGTAGTGAGAGGCCGGGCAAGGGGCTCATGCCTGTAATCCCAGTGCTTTGAGAGGACGAGGCTGTCAGATCACCTAAGGTCAGGAGTTCGAGACCAGCCTGGCCAACATGGTGAAACTGTGTCTCTACAAAAAAATAGAAAAAAAAAATCCCTGCGTGGTGGCAAGTATCTGTAGTCCCAGTTACTCAGGAGTCTGAGGCATGAGAATTGCTTAAACCTCGGAGGCGGAGGCTGCAGTGAGCTGAGATGGTGCCACTGCACTCCAGCCTGGGTGACAGAGCAAGACTTTGTCTCTAAATAATTAAATAAATAAATATGGCCGAGCATGGTGCCTTAGGCCTGTAATCCCAACACTTTGGGAGGCTGAGGCAGGTGGTTCATGAGGTCAGGAGCCCGAGACCAGCCTGGCCAAGATGGTGAAACACTGTCTCTACTAAAAATACAAAAATTAGCCAGCTGTGGTGGCAGGCACCTGTAATCCCAGCTACTTGGGACACTGAGGCAGGAGAATCGCTTGAACCTGGAAGGCAGAGGTTGCAATGAGCCGAGATTGCACCACTGCACTCTAGCCTGGGCGATGGAGCAAGACTCCATCTCAAATAAATAAATTAATAAATACAGAGCAAGATTCCATCTCAAATAAATAAATAAATGTACACCTGCAATCCTAGCACTTTGGGAGGCTAAGACAGGTCGATCACCTGAGGTCAGGAGTTCGAGACCAGCCTGACCAATATGGCAAAACTCCATCTCTACTAAAAATACAAAAATTAGCCGGGCGTTTTGACGTGTGCCTGTAGTCCCAGCTACTTGGGAGGCTGAGACAAGAGAATTGCTTGAACCCAAGAGGTGGAGGTTGCAGTGAGCCGAGATCTCGGCTGCACTTCAGCCTGGGTGACAGAGTGAGACTCTGTCTCAAAAGGAATAAATAAAATACAAAGTAAAAAAAAATGTAGTAAGATTGCAGAGTCGTGCCGCAGAAGCGTGCTGGTCCTATCCATGTAGTGAAGGCTGATTTCATACACAAATGTCAGAAGAACTTTTCTTTTCTTTTTCTTTTTTTTTTTTTTTTTTGAGACGGAGTCTTGCTCTGTCACCCAGGCTGGAGTGCAGTGGTGCGATCTAGGCTCACTGCAAGCTCTGCCTCCCGGGTTTATGCCATTCTCCTGCCTCAGCCTCCTGAGTAGCTGGGACTACAGGCGCCTGCCACCTAGCCCAGCTAATTTTTTTGTACTTTTAGAGGAGATGGGGTTTCACCGCGTTAGCCAGGATAGTCTCAATCTCCTGACCTCGTGATCCGCCCGTCTCGGCCTCCCAAAGTGCTGGGATTACAGGCATGAGCCACCACACCCGGCCTTCTTATATGCTTTTATTGCATTTGAGCGTACCTCTTTTACAGCGAAGATCTTTTTTTTTAATTTTATTTTATTTTTAGAGATGGAGTCTTGCTTTGTTGCCCAGGCTGGAGCACTGTGGTGTGATCATAGCTCACTGCAGCCTTGAACTCCCGGGCACAGGTGATCCTCCCACCTCAGCCTCCTGAATAGCTGGGACTACAGGCATGCACCACCATGCCTGGCATATTTTAAAGATGTTTGTAGAGATGAGGTCTCGCTATGTTGCCAGGCTTGTCTCAAACTACTGGGCTCAAGCCATCCATCCATTTCAGCCTCCCAAAGTGCTTGGATTATAGGCATGAGCACTGCGCCTGGCCATCACACTGTTTTTTTGTTTGTTTGTTTGTTTGTTTGTTTGTTTTGAGATGGAGTCTTGCTCTGTCGCCCAGGCTGGAGTGCAGTAGTGGGATCTCGCCTCATTGCAAGCTCCGCCTTGTGGGTTCACGCCATTCTCCTGCCTCAGCCTCCTGAGTAGCTGGGATTACAGGCGCCCGCCACCACGCCTGGCTAATTTTTTGTATTTTTAGTAGAGACGGGATTTCACCGTGTTAGCCAGGATGGTCTCGATCTCCTGACCGTGATCTGCCCGCCTCGGCCTCTCAAAGTGCTGGGATTACAGGCATGAGCCAATAAATATTTTTATAATCATTAACTACCGAGGAGAAGCTGGAGAGAAAAAAGGTGGATGAAGTTAAGGCAGAGAGACTTTGTAAGTTTCTTAGCTGAGCTTTTGGAGACTGTATATCAGAGATCCTATTTGAGGTGATTTTCGGCTACAGAGATAGGCCTGGTCATTTGAAAAATAACGGATTAGGTGAAGCTTGCGTTTGAAATCCTCCTTCTACTTCTCATCTTTCTCTCTTGTTTATTCTGAACATCCATCTTAGACACCCAATCTTTGTCACTTTGTGGTTGTCATTGATTTCCCTGTTATTGAGATCAGAGGTTGGCAGACTTTCTCTGTAAAGGGCTGGAGAGAAAGTACTTCAGACTTTGTGGTCTGTGCGGTGTCTGTTGCAACCACTTAACTCTGCCCTGTAGAGCAAAAGCAGCCGCAGACAGTACATGGGCAGATGAGCATGGCTGGGGTCCAGTTACATTTACTTGCAAAAAGAGGGTTGGAGACTGGGTGCGATCTCCCACCTTTAATCCCGGCACTTTGGGAGGCCGAGGCAGGAGGATCACTTCAAGCCAGGAGTTCAAGACCAGCCTGGGCAACAAAGCAAGACTCCATCTCTACAAAAAAATAAAAATTATTATAGCTAGGCATGGTGGTACACACCCGTAGTCCTAGCTACTCAGGAAGCTAAAACTGAGGCAGGAGGGTCAGTTGAGCCCAGGAGCACGAGGCTGTGGTGAGCTATTATTGTGCCAGTGCACTCCAGCCTGGTGACAGAGCAAGAACGGTCTCATCAAAAAATAAACAAAAGGCTGGGCACGGTGGCTCACGCCTGTAATCCCTGCACTTTGGGAGACTGAGGTGGGCAGATCATGAGGTCAGGAGATTGAGACCATCCTGGCTAACACGGTGAAACCCTGTCTCTACTAAAAATACAAAAAGTTAGCCGGGCGTGGTGGCGGGCGCCTGTAGTCCCAGCCACTCGGGAGGCTGAGGAGGGAGAATCGTTTGAACCTGGGAGGCGGAGGTTGCAGTGAGCCAAGGTTGTGCCACTGCACTCTAGCCTGGGCTACAGGGCAAGACTCCATTAAAAAAAAAAAAAAAAAAACCAGCAAAAACCAAACAAAACATAATGCATGTTCTCTCTTATAAATGGGAGCTAAACATGGGGACTCATTGACTTAAAGATGGCAACAACTGGGAACTGCTGGATGGGGAGGGAGGGGAGGGGTGAAAGGCCAACTGTTGGGGAGTATGCTCATATCCACGTGACAAACCTGCACATGTGCCCGCTGAATCTAAAATAAAAGTTGAAAGTAGATTTAAAAAACCCCAAGAGGGCTGGGTTTGGCTTGTGTGTCCATAGCTTGTTAACCTCCGCTTTAGATATTAACTAATAGAAACATAGTGCTTAACTTCCCAGGCCACCTATTTTGTTCCTCTCCAAGGTGATGGATAGATGAAGGCCTAATCCAGCCGCCTGGAAGTTTGCTGACGCTTGTCCTGTCACGGATTAATGAAGCATTGTTTTCTGATGAAGGTTTCATGCCGCTGTGCTGATGTGTCTTCTCTTCTCTCTAGGCAGGAAACTGCATATCTTCTGGTTTACATGAAGATGGAGTGCTAATGGAAATGCCCAAAACCTTCAGAGATTGACACGCTGTCATTTTCCATTTCCGTTCCTGGATCTACGGAGTCTTCTAAGAGATTTTGCAATGAGGAGAAGCATTGTTTTCAAACTATATAACTGAGCCTTATTTATAATTAGGGATATTATCAAAATATGTAACCATGAGGCCCCTCAGGTCCTGATCAGTCAGAATGGATGCTTTCACCAGCAGACCCGGCCATGTGGCTGCTCGGTCCTGGGTGCTCGCTGCTGTGCGAGACATTAGCCCTTTAGTTATGAGCCTGTGGGAACTTCAGGGGTTCCCAGTGGGGAGAGCAGTGGCAGTGGGAGGCATCTGGGGGCCAAAGGTCAGTGGCAGGGGGTATTTCAGTATTATACAACTGCTGTGACCAGACTTGTATACTGGCTGAATATCAGTGCTGTTTGTAATTTTTCACTTTGAGAACCAACATTAATTCCATATGAATCAAGTGTTTTGTAACTGCTATTCATTTATTCAGCAAATATTTATTGATCATCTCTTCTCCATAAGATAGTGTGATAAACACAGTCATGAATAAAGTTATTTTCCACAAAAGGACTTTGCAGTTTTAACGGGGGGCAGTAGGGCTTGTGTTATAGAAATTCAAAGGCAAGGGAAGTCACTTCTGTTGTGGGGCCCTGGGAGGAGCCTCCAGGCTGGAAAGGGTTAAGGTGGAGGTCTCCGATAGGGGCAGCGTACACAGTGGACTGGCTGCAAAAGGCCGTGCTCAGCATTCAGACAGCATCACACACTCTGCTTTTCTCTACCAGGGAGGCAGGTGGGGAAGGATAGCGATGGGAAGGCAGGCGGAGCTCAGAATGTGGAAGGGGATCCAGTAAGGCTTGGAAGTTTGCACCTGATCTGGTGGGTGGTGAGGAGCCCTTGAAGGGGCAAGGAGGCGAGGAGCACTCAGCTGTGTTCTTACACTGATCTGCCACTGGGGTTAGAGACAAACGTGGTGGGAATGGAAAGCCACGCACAGTCACTAGCGCCTCTGGGGGGAGAATGGATGTGGCTGGTGAGAGAACAGGGGGGCCCAGGGAGAGTCCGGCACCAACCTGGGCGGGGGAGCCCAGTGGGTGTGAGCACCCCCACTTTAGAGATGAAGTGATGGAGACATTCAGATGTTTAACCCCTTGTTCAAGATTCCATACTTGATAAATGGCAGATCAAACTCCCAACATAAAATGTGGGTCATTTCTTTATTATTTTATTTGTATTGGTTAACAATGATCAGCCATGCAAGAATAAATGATTATTGTAAAATCTGCAAACAATGTAGATATGTAGAGAGTCCCTTCCTTGGAGCTTGACCTTGTCAGACAGGTATAGATGAGTGTTCCGGGGCAGCCGTAAAAACTGCCAGAGACTGGGCTGCTTATAACAGAAACGCATGGTCTCCCAGAAGCCCACATTCAAGGTGTCCAAAGGCCTGGCTCCTGGAGGCTCTGGAGGAGAGCCTGTTCCCTGTCTCTCAGCTTCTGCCGGTTGCCAGCAAGTGTTGCCGTTCATTCACTCCAGCCACTGCCTCCATCTGCACACAGCAAAACAGCGTATCCTGAAGTGCTCAACCTTATAGCCATTATTTTAAAATATCCGGAACACACAGGACCGTGGGAGTGGCTGTTGGAGAAATTTTCATGAAGGAAGAAAGATTACAACTAAGTTTTAAAATGCTAGTTTTGTTTGTTTTGTCTTGGAGAGGAGGTCAAAGTGGGAGTAAAAATAGGGAGTTTGGTGTAAGGTGGGAAAAGCAAAGGAACCCCGCATGGATGGGCTGAAGGGTGTGATGGGAGAACAGTGAGAAGTACGTTTGGGGAAGCAATTGGAAATAGTAGCTAAGCTTAATCACAATCTATCAAAAGGGACTTGTTGAAGAATTAATGTGTGACTAGGAACAGGGAGGTTATGGGCTTGTCAGCTCGACAGCGGGCACTCAGTTCCACTAATGAATGATGCCCGTGTGGACAGACAGAATGATGGACAGGCAGATGAATGCGTGGGCTTTATGTGAAACAGGTCCTCTTGGTTGTTGACAAGATACTGTTTTAAAGTTCCATTTTGCCATACTTCGAACAGCTTGTCATTAGCTCAATTTAGCCACATGTAAAATCACTAAGGCGGACTTCCAGAGTTCCCACATGAAAATCAAATGTAAACCAGCAGTGACCTGCTTCAACACCATCATCGGAAGTCAGAAGTTGAACTCTTTTTTGATGTTTAAAGCCTGCATAATATTCGCTGTATTATTATTCAGCATATTACTATTTCCTTCGTGATGGAAATTTGGTTTATCCCAATTTTCTATTCCATCAAAACACCGCTACATAGAAAATCCCCATGCACATATTTCTCCTAATTGTGGAAATATTTTACATAAAAGACTCTAGACATGGGATGAAATTCCCAGGTTATTGGAATTTTAAAATAGATAGGTACTTCCAAATTGACCTCTTACAAATTATATGAATTCGTAAGCTTCCAACTGTTATGGAGTTACCCATTTTGAGAAATCTGTGCTAAAAGGACCCAAACAATGCTGATGACAATGATCAGGATAATAAGTACGCTGGGAAGACAACAAAATGATTTAGATCTTAGACAAGTCATTCTAGGTGTCTCCACTGTTTCAGTTCTTGCGTTCGTTCATTCTTGTGCTTTTTCGTTTTACCAAATAAAATAGCTCCTTGATGTCATAGGAATCCACGCTATGCTTAATGAGTATTGGTTAGTAAAATGCCTATAACTAGTAATCTTCATCTATGCAATTAAATATTAATTCATAAAACACTTCAAATGTAAACAATAATTAGTAAATGAAAAGTACATAATACCTCAATTAGAAAAAAATCACTCCATTAAAAAGACATTATTTGTGTGATAAAAGAGATTGCCATTTTTGTATTTTTCTACAAGGTTAAAGAAAACTAAGTCAACTTATACAAGTGAATTTTAAAAGACTTTAGGGCAGGCGTGGTGGCTCACGCCTGTAATCCCAGCACTTTAAGAGGCCGAGGAGGGCAGATCACCTGAGGTCAGGAGTTCGAAACCAGCCTGACCAACATGGTGAAATCTCATTTCTACTAAAAATACAAAAAAATTAGCCCAGTGTGGTGGCATGTGCCTATAATCTCAGCTACTTGGGAGGCTGAGACAGGAGAATAGTTTGAACCTGGGAGGCGGAGGTTGCAATGAACCAGGATCGCACCATTGCACTCCAGCTTGGGCAACAAGAGTGAAACCCCATCTCAAAAATAAATAAATAAATAAATAAAATAAATAAAAGCCTTTAACCCAGAATGCTGAGTAAATTGGCCAAAAATGCTAACCTATGCATTTCAATACTATAGGAGTCGCATGGGTAGAAATAACCAGATGAAATACTTCTGGTATTTCACCTTCCCAACCCACACGAGCCAGTGTTTTTCTGTGAATAACAAAAACAGCAGAATTTACTTGCCTCTCCATAAGAGGTTACCACTTCTGTGTGTTCCCCCGAAACAGGTGGTGGCTGGGTGAGAAGGTGGACAGCACTAGGGCAGGAGATGGGGGCTCCAGTATCGTGGGTGAGCTTCCTAAACCTCTGCAACTTTCAGCCCCTAAATGGGATGAGCCATCAGAATTTTTAGCACAATGCCCAGAACAAAGTAAGGATTTGACAAATGACGCCTCTCTCCACATTGTTCTGTCATCAGCCACCGCATCCTGTACCTCCAAGCCCACTGGGCTCCGGCTGTTTCCATCACATGGAGAATGACTCAGAGCCTGGCCTCCAGCCACCCTCCTGGCCTTTCTTCTTCTCACTCTGCCACTGGCTCCTCATGGACCACCAGCCTGGGTGTCCTCAGACATACCACACACTTCACTGTGGGAGTCACGCAGCCCTCACTGCTCCTTCGCCAGGGAGCCACGGGGCTTTCCTCCTCAGGAGGACTCTGCAAGCAGCTGGATGAAGGGCCCTCCCGTCTCTCATCCTTCCTTAATTTTTGTCACAGTTCTCCTTCCTTCCACTCAGTGCAGCGCACACTGATTGATCCTCCATCTTCCCCAAAAGACAGGAACAGCATGAGCAGTGGAGAGTAGATTCCAATGATAGAAAAAATAGTCAGTGATTTCTCATTTCCATTGATCATCAATGAAGAAAATGTATCCTGAAGGTCATGTACCTCCTATGGGACTGCTGCATCCTCAGCCTCCTGAATTTCAGCCCAGCACCTTCCTCCCCAGCACAGCAACAGGTCAGCCCTTACCAGCATCCCTCTCTTATTGCCTTTGTGCAGAGCCAGCACCAGGGCCAGGGGAGGCCTTGGGATTGTCCCTCCCCAACAATCTGTGAAACAATCCTTTATGTCACCAACAAAGCACAGCCTTATGCACTGGTGGTCAGTCCCTCTCAACACCTCTGTCACTGTAAAGCTGGCAGGCAACCCTCCAAGGTTGGCCTTCCCAAGCACTGCACCTCTAGGTGACAGAGCACGTCCTTACCTTGAAGCCTGGGCGCCCAGTCTATCCTGTCCAATGAGCGAGCTGTGGAGAAGGGGGGATTCCGGGTTAAGGGGAGACTAGCAGGGCTCCTGCTTTTATGTTGCCCTGTTGGGAAGGCTATTAAAGAAACACAAAGTGCTAAGCAGTGAGGATAGAACATGTTTTCATTATTTCAACCAATACATTCCACAGATGGAATAATAAGAAATGCTACAACCAAGCTAACTGAATCCAACAGCATATCAAAAAGATAATCCACCATGATTCAAGTGGGTTTCATACTAGGGATGCAGGGATGGTTTAACATACGCAAGTCAATAAATGTGATACATCACATCAATAAAACTAAAAACAAAAATCACATGATAATCTGAATAGATGCAGAAAAAGCCTTTGACAAAATCCAGCATTTCTTTATGATTAAAACCGTTCATCAAAATCAGCGTAGAACGGACATACCTTAAGGTAATAAAAGCTATCTATGACAAACCCACAGCCAACATTTTCCTGAATGGGGGAGAGTTGAAAGCATTCCCCCTGAGGAAGGGAACAAGACAAAGATGCCCACGTTCACCGCTTCTCAACACAGTGCTGTTCACTACAGCATTGGTTATAAGAGCAAGACTGGAAACAGAACAAATGGATACCCATAGCGGGGTGCTTAAGTAATTTTGGGAATAGTCATGGGGTGCAGTACTTTATAGCTCTGAAACAATACAATGGATTTACATTTGAAATGTGGAATGATAACTAAGGTGCATTGCCCAGTGATATATGCAGAGGTGCAGAGGACTTTGTGTAAACACGATCACACATCAGCCTGCATTCCAGGTGCATGCTTCTATTTGCACATAGATTGCAGGGATGATATGCAAACAAAAATGTTGACTTGGTGTTTGGAAGTTCAGAGTGGAAGGGAAACTTCCTTGCTAACCTTTTATGATATTTAGAGTTTCTAAATGTGAATACGTAATACATTTAGAAATCTTAGTTAATAAGAAAAGCCTCTGTTCCTGGCCTCTTGCTGGCACATGTCAGGTGGAAATGGGGCTGTCATGCTAATGTGTGCAAACTGAGAAAAATCCAAGAATGGGAGTCTGCTTTTTTCATCATACAAATAATTGTTAATAGAAACAGTATGATAATTGCTCATTGATATACCATGCATATTCTATTAGATAATAATAAATTTCTGAAATTTGAACTATACTTACACATGGAAATTGAAATATATGGATGAAACATTGTGGCTTATATAGGCAATTGTTTTATTGGCATTTTACAAACTGATCATCATTCCTCATGGCACGGGTCCATGTGATATTAAGTAGCTTGTTATGCTTGGGAAAGGCAGTGATGACCACAAGAATGACTTCAACTACTAAAGTACAATGGAGATTTCAACAATGTTTTGTTTAATATTTAAATATTTCATTGTGCTCCCAGGCTTTTTCTCACCCTAATAGCTCTCATCCATATCATGTGGGTCCCATTAATACAGATACCTCCGAATGCACCACTCTTCCATTATATCCAGTCAATTGCTGGTTACCTTGGGCCTACCAACTG
Organism: Homo sapiens; assembly: GCF_000001405.40. Classification (NCBI taxonomy): domain Eukaryota; kingdom Metazoa; phylum Chordata; class Mammalia; order Primates; family Hominidae; genus Homo; species Homo sapiens. Next base: position 107,577 of record NT_187386.1, read on the forward strand.
GGGGAGGGCAGGGGCTGCTGGCCACCTCCTCATCTACAGTAAGAGTCAATGAGCAGTTAAATGGATACTGAAAACCATTTATCCTGCTGGAGTGAGAAATAAATGGTTTCTTTCAATAGCGTAGTAAAATGCATCTTTTCCAAACTATTTATATGACTCAAGGCCCATCTCAATTTCAGATGTGGTTAGCCTCAATTCCTGATTCTCACCAAGGTGTGTAATGTCATCCACGGCCCAGTGCAGAGGAACACAGGTGCTGCCGTCAGACTGCCAGGGTCCGATCCCGCCTCCTCACTCACCCCGGGAGATCCCTTTAAGCCAGGAGTCAACAGTGAGGATGGAAACATGAGTGCTTTTTAAAGTCCTGAAAGTTCAGAGGCAGACTGTCAATTTCTCCTCCACCCCTGGGCACACACCAGGAGAACTCTGTCTCCAGGTTGGAGGAAGTGCCTGTGAGAGAGTTGTGTCCCTCAGATTCTGTTCACCACAGGTGACACTCGATGCAACCCCAAACCTCTTCTGCACAATCCCAAGGGGTGCTGACTAATCCAACCCAAAGGCTGTGATGTTTGGCAGAGGCAGAAAAGAAAAGGCCAGGTGTTCTGGGAAAGACCACCTTTAAATAACACAGCACCCTCATAGCCCAGAGAGACAGTTCCAACTATTATGCCAATAAACCCGGAAAAGACCAAATCCAATATGACACATATTTCCTGTTTCGTTTTGATTTCATGCCCCCTCCCTTAACCTCCCAAGCAGCATGGATACCCCGAAGGCCCCTGGGAACTCTCTCCAATTGGATCTTACGTGGAAAGCAGTTACCTACCTACAAATCCCCATCATCAGATATGCTCTCCACAATCAAATCTTTAGAAACACAAACACCAGGATAAGTCATTAGAGAGAGGCCCACCCACTCCTCCCACCCTAGCTGAAGCCATGGTGCTTCGCACAGGATCCCCTGGTGTTTCCTCTGGGCCCACAGATATCCCTACAGCCTCTCTGGACATGGTTTTATACTTGCAAAATCATTTGCTCTCACCAGACCCCAAATCCTCCTTCCCAAAAGGAGCCCAGAATCAGGTTTCTGTACCCTAGAGATGGCGCTTTTTCCTCAGGAAGTGAGTTATTTCAGGGTACGTATCATTCTCCAGTGTCAATGGCTCCTGCAATTATAGAAAAGAAAACATTAGGAGGGTGAAATGATGCCATACACGTCACACAGATCTGATAGTCTCTCGACAACTTGAGAGAGAAAATAGGAAGGGGTATAGTGATTGAGTCAAAGGTCGAAGTCCCCCAAAACTGGCACGGAAGACACCTGTGGAAAAGACAAGACCTTTTCCCACAGAATTTATCTTTAAAGTGTATCTAGATTGGCAGTTTCACAACTCTTAATCCATGGGGGAAAACTGCTGTGGAGGGAAACACCTCTGCATTGCAGTGGATCGTGGATGCTGCCATCTACCACACCCCAGTGTGCCTGGCATGGGTTGGTGAGAGGCTGCCAATCAATAGCACCACACCAAGGGAATTGCAGATGTCATAAATAGTCCACATTGGCAGATGTTCATGTCTACATTTGATTAAACTGCAGATGACATCGATAATGCACACTGGCAGATGTTCATGTCTACATCTGATTGGAAAGAAGCCAGGAAAGTAACATTTCTGTTCAAGACAAAGAAAAGTGTCTTACATTGGCAGCATCTTCTTTTTTACAGATGTCTTGTACAGTGTCCTCATTAGCAATGTCATATACAGCGTCCTTATTAGCGAATTCGTATACAGCATCCTCATTAGCGATGCCATATACAGCGTCCTCATTAGCGATGTTGTATACAGCGTCCTCATTAGTGATGTCGTATAGAGCGTCCTCATTAGCGATGTCATATACAATGTCCTCATTAGCGATGTCATATACAGCAACCTCATTAGCTATGTCTTGTAAAGCATCCTCATTAGCGATGTCATATACAACGTCCTCATTAGCGATGTCGTATACAGCGTCCTCGTTAGCGATGTCTTGTACGGTGTCCTTATAAGCAATGTCGTCTACAGCGTCCTCGTTAGCATGCCTTGTGGGTGCCATTAGCGATGTCATATACAGCATCCTCATTGGTGATGTCTTATATGGTGTCCTCATTAGCGATGTTGTGTACAGCGTCCTCGTTAGCAATGCCTTGTACAGTGTCCTCGTTAGCGATGCCATATACAGTGTCCTCATTAGTGATGGCTTGTACACTGTCCTCATTAGTGATGTCGTGTACAGCATCCTCGTTAGCGTGCCTTGTACGGTGTCATTAGCGATGTCGTATACAGCGTCATAATTAGCGATGTCTTATACGGTGTCATCATTAGTGATGTTGTGTACAGCGTCATCGTTAGCGATGCCTTGTATGGTGTCCTCATTAGCGATGTCGTATACAGCGTGCTCACTAGCGATGTCTTTTTTTATATATATATACTTTAAGTTTTAGGGTACATGTGCACATTGTGCAGGTTAGTTACATATGTATACATGTGCCATGCTGGTGTGCTGCACCCACTAACTCATCATCTAGCATTAGGTATATCTCCCGATGCTATCCCTCCCCCCCCAACCCCACAACAGTCCCCAGAGTGTGATATTCCCCTTCCTGTGTCCATGTGATCTCATTGTTCAATTCCCATCTATGAGTGAGAATATGCGGTGTTTGGTTTTTTGTTCTTGCGATAGTTACTAGCGATGTCTTATACGCTGTCCTCATTAGCAATGTCGTGTACAGCGTCCACGTTAGCGTGCCTTGTCGGTGCCATTAGCAATGTCGTATAAAGCGCCCTCATTGGTGATGTCTTGTACAGTGCCCTCATTAGCGATGTTGTGTACAGTGTACTTGTTAGCGACGGCTTGTAGGGTGTCCTCGTTAGCGATGTCGTATACAGCTCGTTGGCGATGCCGTGGGCGGCGTCCTCTTTGGCGATGCCCTGGGCGGCGTCCTCGTTGGCGATGCCCTGGGCGGCGTCCTCGTTGGCGATGCCCTGGGCGGCATCCTCCTTGTCGATGCCCTGGACGGCGTCCTCGCTGGCGATTCCGTGGGCGCCGTCCTCGTTGGCGATGCCCTGGGCGGCGTCCTCGTTGGCGATGCCGTGGGCGGCGTCCTCTTTGGCGATGCCCTGGGCGGCGTCCTCGTTGGCGATGCCCTGGGCGGCGTCCTCCTTGGCGATGCCCTGGGCGGCGTCCTCCTTGGCGATGCCCTGGGCGGCGTCCTCCTTGGCGATGCCCTGGGCGGCGTCCTCGTTGGCGATGCCGTGGACGGCGTACTCCTTGGCGATGCCCTGGATGGCGTCCTCGTTGGCGATGCCCTGGGCGGCGTCCTCGTTGGCGATGCCCTGGGCGGCGTCCTCGTTGGCGATGCCCTGGGCGGCGTCCTCCTTGTCGATGCCCTGGGCGGCGTCCTCGCTGGCGATGCCCTGGGCGCCGTCCTCGTTGGCGATGCCCTGGGCGGCGTCCTCGTTGGCGATTCCGTGGGCGCCGTCCTCGTTGGCGATGCCCTGGGCGGCGTCCTCCTTGGCGATGCCCTGGGCGGCGTCCTCCTTGGCGATGCCCTGGGCGGCGTCCTCTTTGGCGATGCCCTGGGCGGCGTCCTCGTTGGCGATGCCCTGGGCGGCGTCCTCGCTGGCGATGCCCTGGGCGGCGTCCTCGCTGGCGATGCCCTGGGCGGCGTCCTCGCTGGCGATGCCGTGGGCGGCGTCCTCGCTGGCGATGCCGTGGGCGGCGTCCTCGCTGGCGATTCCGTGGGCGGCGTCCTCGCTGGCGATGCCGTGGGCGGCATCCTCGTTGGCGATGCCCTTGTCGGCGGCCTCGTTAGCGATGCCCTGGGCGGCGTCCTCCTTGGCGATGCCCTGGGCGGCGTCCTCTTTGGCGATGCCCTGGGCGGCGTCCTCGTTGGCGATGCCCTGGGCGGCGTCCTCCTTGGCGATGCCCTGGGCGGCGTCCTCGTTGGCGATGCCCTGGGCGGCGTCCTCGTTGGCGATGCCGTGGACGGCGTCCTCCATGGCGATGCCCTGGACGGCGTCCTCGTTGGCGATGCCCTGGGCGGCGTCCTCGCTGGCGATGCCGTGGGCGGCGTCCTCGCTGGCGATGCCGTGGGCGGCGTCCTCGCTGGCGATGCCGTGGGCGGCGTCCTCGTTGGCGATGCTGTGGGCGGCATCCTCGTTGGCGATGCCCTTGTCGGCGGCCTCGTTAGCGATGTCGTGTACAGTATCCTCGTTAGCGATGTCGTGTGTGGCGTCCTCGTTAGTGATGTCGTGTACGGTGTCCTCATGGGGAGCTAGAAAAACACAGAGTTAAGGTCAGTGCCCTGGTGGTGGAGACTGTGAATCACCCAGGGGCTTGCTTGGTGTGATGCATGGAGGTGGCTGATCACAGCATGGGTCAAGCTGATGCTGGGACATCCTCCCAGGTGGACCTGCACTAGTGAAGCTAAGGGATGTGGCTCAGAACACTTTCTGCAGTGGGAATCAGTTTCCAGGTTCAGGTATGCATTATCTGGTGAAGTGGGGAAATATAAAAAATAAAAATTGACAAATTCATGAAAAGCCTTCCATGAGTGCAAGTGTGAGTTTTTTATCCACTTTACATTCAGTATGCATTCACACATACAAAATGTTTTTACAAGAAATCAGAAATTTTAATTTTTGTCAGTTATGTGAAATCTAACTTAGCTGCCAGCATAAAGATTCTATCTCATTTACTTGGTCTCGAGAAAATCTAGCACATAGTAAGTAGACCAAAATGTTTATTAAATGAAAACACAGAGCAGAGATAGGGGGGCTGCTAGGCAGACTGGGTTGCACCTGATTACCTGGATGATAATAAACTGCACAAAACCTCGGTCAAATTAATATTGAAACTGCCTTTTGCTTGGGCTCGTTTCCCTTGCGGAAGAAGGATGACCAAGAAGATGAACAGGAAAGAAATGAGAAACAGAGGCCTTTGCTTAGTAGCTAAAGGCCACCTTCTGTAACATGAAATAGTCTACAAGTGGCCTTGAACTCTGCCGTGATTTAGTGACAGAGTTCCCTCATGTCTTCTACCCAGGTTGAAGTCCAGCAAAATTGCGACTGTCCTCTTTACAACTTGCGAGACCACACTGCTTCTGCATTTGCCTGTTGTATGTATGAGATTTACACTTGTTTTAAAGCAACATTTTGTTTCAGTTGGGCTGGTGGCCATACCCGGCACTAGCCGGTCAATAGTGAGATGGCTCCTCATGGAGGAGGCTTGGCTTGAGGCTGAGGGTCTTTAACCCACATATACAAGAGAGTTGCCACTAAGGGATGGAAGCCAGGCTAATAACCAAGTGCCACACAGAGTTCCTATCTGTCCCTCCTCACCATTTTTGGCTGGCAGGATTTGAGCATTTTAGGGCTTGGGAAGATAGTATTACTAAATCTACTAAAATACATCACCCATCCTTATAGACTTTGGCCAGTTGCTGAGCAAATTAACTTCACAACTGAAGTGGGCCACACTGGCCTTTGTGGTCCCCCACTCCTCTTAGAATTTGTGAGCGTGGGGCCTACTGGAGGGTGGGAGGTGGGAGGAGGGGGTGGATCAGGAAAAATAACTGATATTAGGCTCAATATATGGGTGATGCAATAATCTGTACAACAAACTCTCATGACACACATTTATATATGTAGCAAACCTGCACATCCTGCACATGTACCCCTGAACTTAAAAGTTAAAAAAAAAAAAAAGGATCGGTGAGCTGAGCCAAACACCTGGGGATCTTTGTGCTTTTGACACACTGATGACTATGCCTGTCCGTGGGGAGATGAACCTATAACTGCCCTGGGTTGTGTGACCACGGAGGCCACTTTATGATGATGGGCAGTGCCTGGGGCCTTTTGGGCTCGTTGCTTTAGGGTTTATACATGAATGCTGGACTCCCTGTGTGGTGGTGAACACCCCATGACTAAGTGCATGTCAGCGTCAGCACTGGCCCACACTCCTGGGTTCGTGTTTTCACTTTTTCATTCAGGAACTCGGGAGCTGGGGCCACTCCCTTGGCCCTTCAGGTTCTCCACCTGAGCAGTGGGGATAATAAGGCAGACCCGGGGATGGCTCTGGTGAGGGTGGAGGAGTCACTGTACAGAGAGAGTAGAGCGGGGGTGGATTTTATTGTTAGAAGTGGACACTGGTGATTGGGTTGTATAAGTGGGAAATCTCTCCTGAGAAAACACACAGCCTCACCTGTACAGAAACACACACATTCACACCACACGATGCAGCCTCACACAAGACACCACCAATCCTCAAGCACCCAACTCAGCACCACCCAAAAGGGAGCACAGCTGCTTCCTCAAAATTTGGCCATAATTTTTCCCTGGGGAATTCAGGTTTTAAAAAAACACTTCCCCTATACTTATTCCTATCACAATCCCAGGATCAGGGTGGCTCTTCACATTGAAACCAGGCAAGGATGCCACACCTTTCTTGGCATCCAGATTGTTTTCTCGGTAAGTGATTCCAGAATACTTACTAGATTCACGCCTCAGAGGGGCCACCTGCACCACCTGCAATACAGAAACAAAGCTTTTTGAGGGGTATGTCATGTTGTGGATTGTTTGCACAAGGCTGTGTTTCTCTCAATGAATATTGAAAACTTGATCAGAAAGTGTAGTCAACTTCAAGGCCTCCAAAACAAGGGTAGGATACACACTGGAAAAGACATCAGCTTCTGGATGGTGGATCTCTCAGGTCCACGTAGGTTGGCAAGTGCAAAATACTGAATCCAAGGAGAAGACATTGCTTCCAAGGACAAGGACCCCAAGGATACAGTCTACAACCTGAAGCCATCATAGCTAAATGCCATTTTGGATTACATATCAGTTGCTAAGAGTCACTTCTTCCTCCCCCTCAGAAAACTGCATTTAATACCTGTCATGGACATTGTCATCTTTTCACATGTAAAGTCAGTTGAAAAAGAAAGACAACAAGAAAGGAACATTTCTATTTCAGAGAAAGCAAGGCAACCTTACCCTCACGTTGACTGGCCTCTCTCCATCTCCTCTGTCCTTGTGAACTAGAGACTCCTCAGAGGCTAGGAGGACACAGAGCAACAGTTAGTCACAGATGCTTTTGTTCATGAGCTATTCAGGGAGCTCTGCTTAATGTGGACAACAGGACAGTGTGTGTGGATGTGTTTCATTAAAAGCACAGCTTGAGCTCCTGCTAGAAAATCCTCCCTCGTGGAAAGACAGGCAAGAACGAGGAGCTAAGGAGCAAGAAATAGAGTCCCTGGCATTTTGCTGATGGCAACTTAAGGCAATGGGAATGAGTCAGTCTACAAATGGTACTGAAGCACATGCTATAGTTTGATGAGAGTCCCACTGCTCACACTGTGAGGTTTGAAACCCAGCTAAATGGTTTTCTAAACCTGTAAAAACAATATTACTTGCAGGATTTATGTCCCAAGACTACTTTTACCTCTGAGGATCCACAGTGGCTGTCACTGCAGTTATTATGTGTTTTAGCATTTTGCACTTGAATAAAAGCAAAGTTTAATAGACAGATTGGATTCAATTCTAGGCAAAACAGTCTATGGTATTTATTCACTAATCCTTTGTTATAACTGCTGATGGGAGAATTAGAAGTACTGAAATTATATCCTTTAAAATTAATTAAAGCATAATTATTAATCACACAATATTTTTTCATCCAGGCCTCCTTTTCTTTGTCATGCATGCATATTAATTGAGGATGGAGAATATCTACGCTTGTTCAGGCCAGCCAACATACGACAGTTTACTTCAAGACAGGAGACATGGGTTGAATGCTGGTATGTTTTAACTCTGCAGCGCAAACAGTTGCAACAAGTGTGGTGAACTAATCACCAGATGGCCCTTTGCTGCCTTATTTGTCATTGTGCCTTACATGTAGCTTGCAGGATTTGATTACGCTTATGTTTTGTGGTGATCATACTTTCAACTATTCCTAAAATACTGCTTCAGTCTTATCTGTTTGGGGTCAACTGCTGAGGATTTCATACAAATTAATGAAGTTTGTGAATCTAAACTTCTACACAAAGGGGGAAATATTTGCAAATCATTTATCTTGTAAGAGACTAAAATTTAGAATATTTTTAAATATATTTAAGATATATTCAAAAATCTACAACAACAAACTAACTAAATAAAAATCAGACAACTCTTTAAAAATGGGCAAAAGACTTCAACATATATTTCCCTAAAGAAGATATAGCCACAAATAGTAGCACAGGAAAAGCTGCTCAGGATCATTAGTCATTAGGGAAATGCAAATGAAAAACACAAGCAGCCACCAATATACACCTACTAGGATGATTTAAAGGAAAATAAGTGTGAACAAGGATGTAAAGAAATTGTAACCCTGATACATTGATGGTAGAAATGGATAAAGTTGCAGCCACTGTGAAAAACAGTCTGCAGTGGCTCAGAAGGTTAAATATAGAACCCCTGTTGGACCCAGGAACTCTACTCTTAGGCACCCCAAAGAATAGAGAACAGAAATCAAACAGATGTTTGTATACTAATGTTTGTAGCATCACTTTTCACAGGAGCCAAAAGGTGGAAATAATCCAACCATCAGTGAACAAATGAATGTAATAAAAGCAAGGTGGTCTGCATGCAATGCTACATCATCCATCTGTAAAAAACGAACATCATTTTGATAGATGATACAACATGGGTGGACATTGAGAACATTATGCTTAGTGAAATAAGCCAGACACAAAAGGAATATATTGTATAATTGTAATTACATGAAGTGCCTAGAATAGTCAAATTCATACAAGAGAAAGTGGGATAGGAATCACCATGGGCTGGAAATAGGGGGAAGGCGCTATATTGCTTATTGTGGACAAGGTTTTGTAAGAAATCATCAAAATTGTGGGTGTAGATAGTGGTGTTGGTTATGCAACCCTGTGAATATATTGAATGCCACGGAGTGCACACTTTGGTTAAAAGGTTCAAATGATAAATAATGTGTTATATATATTTCCCCACGATAGAAAACATGCACAGCCAAGCCCAGATGCCAGTCTTGTTAGCTGCCTTCCTTTACCTTCAAGAGTGGGCTGAAGCTTGTCCAATCTTTCAAGGTTGCTGAAGACTGTATGATGGAAGTCATCTGCATTGGGAAAGAAATTAATGGAGAGAGGAGAAAACTTGAGAATCCACACTACTCACCCTGCAGGGCCAAGAACTCTGTCTCCCATGCATTGCTGACCCATCTCAGTATTTCCTGTGACCACCTCCTTTTTCAACTGAAGACTTTGCACCTGAAGGGGTTCCCAGGTTTTTCACCTCGGCCCTTGTCAGGACTGATCCTCTCAACTACTGACCATTTCACCTCCATTCATGTCCATGCCACATCAGGCTGTGTTGTCTAGATGGCATGAATCTACCCCAAATGTCCCTTTCTGGAGGAAGCCACCATTATGCTGTACCTCCAAGCATAATGATACGTCCACACACACCAAGGCACCTCACTCATGCAAGGTGTGTGTCCTCTAACAAAGTTTCACGCTCTAAACCCAGATAACTTTTGAAACCCAAGTTCTGTTGATTCCCCTACTTTGGGTGCTCCATAGATGCTCATTTGTCTACTAAACACTGCCCCAGGCAATTAAATATTCCAAAGTGACCAGCAGAATTTTTATGTTAATTCTGACATTGCATTGTTAGTACAAGTGTTTTTCCCCCTTCAAATTTATGTCTTTGTTACTGATAAATGTAACTGATAATGCTTTTTTCAGCTATGTTGCCAAGCATATTTATATAAAAATATACTCAGATTGTTTTCAGAATTTGACAAAGATGATAGCAACAACGATAATCTCATTTGTCTTATACTAATCTTTATGTGTTACTTTCATCATTTCTTACATATTGGGGCCTACCATACATTGTACGGTGAAATTAGTGCTATGCATCATGGTAGGAATATAAATTGGCAAAAGTAATTTAGAAAATAGTTCCCTTCTTTCTTAAAAAAATTAGGCTGGGTGTGGTGGCTCATGCCTATAATCCCAGCACTTTGGGAGGCAGAGGTGGGTGGATCACCTGAGGCTAGGAGTTTGAGACTAGCCTGACCAACACAGCAAAATCCCGTCTCTACTGAAAATACAAAAATTATCCAGGCGTGGTGGTGTGTGCCAGTTGTCCCAGCTACTCGGGAGGTTGAGGCATGAGAATTGCTTAAACCTGGGAGATGGAGGTTCCAGTGAGCCGAGATTGTGCCACTGCACTCCAGCCTGGGTCTCAGAAAAAAAAAAATTTTTTTTGACCAAAATGTCATTATGCATTACATGACTGTATATGAATGCTCAAAGCTACTTTACTCATCAAAGAAAATAACAAAACAATTAAATGTCCATTAACTGATAAATGAATAAACACTATCTGTATGAATAAACACAGCAGACTATGAAGGAAAACACATGACCAGCACGTGCTAACACGTCAATTAACTTCAAACATAGTATGCTAAATGAGGGAAGTCAGATTCCAAATATATATATATGTCCATTTCTATAAAGCAAGTGGGAAATTTATGGAGATGGAATGTCACAGCAGTATTGCTTAGGGCTGGAGATGGGAGTGGGGATTAACTGCCAGTGCGCAAGAGAGAACTTGGGTGAGGGAAACATATTTAAATTAGATCGTGGTGTTGGGTGCACACAGTATCAATTTAATAAAGCATCAAATTCTAGACCTTTTCAGTGGGCAAACTTTATGGTGGGTTCACACCCAATATAGGTGTTAAAAATAATGTTACGGAAATTCTTGTCGGGTTTTTAACAAGCCAAGAGATATGCTGTGAAAGCAGCATTAATTCAAGTGGTTGTCACAGGTCACTTAAAGTTAATCAGATAGTTGTCCTACAAATATAGGGTGAATGTTATTCATGAATTTCCTGAATCTATTGCAATAATCACATTTTTTTCCATTAAACTCTTGAGGTAGCTAATTTTATTTATTGCATTTTCAATGTTAATCTACTATTTCATATGTTGAGATTAACTCACATTAGTCAGAATTTAAAGTATTTTAAAATATCACAGAATTTAATTTACCTTATCTGGTTTTGGTTTCAAGACTATAGTAGCCATTTCATTTAATTGTACATGTAGGGTATTCTAATTTATGGAAAACTATTACATTTTCCTTGATTTTTTTTTTTTTAGAAATTACTTCTAGGGATCTATATGGTAGAGTCCATGGAGAATTGTTTTAATTCTTCATTCATGTCTTCAGTGGGTATAGGATTGGTCATATTGGTCATAGTTTTCTGCTCGGATTTCAATAAGAAACTTGTGGAAGAACCTGAAGGGTGGGATCTTTGAGGGAGCCTAAGACAGAGCAAGACAAGCTAAGAAGGAGGGCAGTGCCACAGCAGAACTGCCGTTGATGCCCCCTCGCCTAGATTGCGGAAGAGACATCCAGCTGTAGACACTGAGGTGCAGGAAAACAATGGAGCACCATCAGAGAAAGCAGTGCCCAGGAACAAGGAGGCACTGATGGTGGCAAGGGGCAAAGACAGCTGCCACGAGGCTGTTCACATGAGGGTCTCAGGCTGCATAGACACCCACACCAGCTGAGGGGTCCTGGTTTTCATAAAGTGTGTGGCTCAGCCAGGCCACCAACAAGCAGTTCACAAACAGTAGTAATACGACACTTTCCAAAGACCTTACTTGAGTAACACGGTGATCCTCACAAATTTCCAATCAGGATGGTCGCACAGTTCCTCCTGCTTTAGGACTCAGAGCCTGCCCGTGGTCACAGTGGGTAGGTGCAGACTCTGAAGATGCACTTTGGTCAGAGACCCTGCTGAACTCTGTCTAATGAGGACCTCTGTCCTGTCTGCTGACCACCGGTCAGAGGTGCAGGCTGCAGTGGGGAGTAAGAATGCCACCTTCTCAATGTTGGGAAAACTCCCTGCCAGAACTGAGAATGGCCCTTTCTAAGCAGAAGGCAAGCTCAGACTAAAGAAGGAGGCCGAACACATCAGGTTGGCAGATTGCCAAAGATTCACTCAGGGAGAGCCCACATCCTGGGCCATCTTGGGTGGTGGCAAGATGAGGTAGACGACTGCTTTTGCAACACACACCTGACAACAAAAATTCAACAACTGTAAAAGAGCCACAAAATCCCCAAATATTTGCAAATTAGCAATGCACTTTTAAATAACTCTTGGGTTAAAGAAGAAGTCTCAATAGAAAATTAAAAATACTTTTAACTACATTAAAAGAAAATGTGACTTGGCAAGATTTCTGGATGTAGCAAAAGCAGTCCTTAGAGGGAAATCTATAGCATTGGATGCAATATACTAAAAATCACAAGACCTAAAATCAGTAATATCATGTTTCAATTAGGGAACTATAGAAAATAGAGGAATGCAATGGAAAGCAAGTAAAAGTAATAAACAACATCACAGAAATCAATAAAATTAAAACACTGAAATCATCAGAAAATCAATAAAACCAAAAGCTGGTTCTTTGATATGCTCATTACAATGAATGAATTGATATGCAGGCTAACCAAGAAAAAGAAGATAACACAAATGACCAATTTCAGAAATAAAAGAGGAGCCATCTCTACTGAACTGTTAGGCATTAAAAGGAATATCATGAACAGTTCTATGACCGCAGTCTGATAACCTCAGTGAAATGTATCAATTCCTTGAAAGGCAATCTTCCCAAGGTCATGCTAGGATCCTAATTTGAATAAACTTATGTCTACTAAATAAGTTGAATTCACATTAAGAGCATTCCGAAAAAGAAAGCACCAGGCCCAGATGGTTTCTCTCATGAAATCTACCGAATTCTTCAACAGGTGAATAAAAAGACAAAAATTCATTGAATGCAATATTATTTGGTGATTTAATGTGCCATTTTTTGCCATTAAGGCATAAAAAAGACATGAAAGCAGCTAAAGCGTACATCAATTTAGTGCAATAAATTCATCTGAAAAAACTACATAATATATGATTCCAACTATATGACATTCTGGAAAAGGCAAAGCTGAAGCGATAGTAAAAATATTAATAGTTGCCAAGGTTTCTGGAGAAAGAGGACAGAGATTAATGAGAAGAGAGGATTTTTAGGGAAGTGAACATTTTCTTTATGAGACCATAAGGGTGAACATAATGTTTTAAATATTTCAAAATTCATATATATGTATAACAGAAAGAATGAACATTATGCAAATGTAGACTTCAGATAATAATGTGTCAATATTTTCTCATTATTCTAGCAAATGTACCACAGTAATGTAAGATGTTACTAATAGGTGAAATTAGGAAGTGAGGGTGAGGAGACAGAATAATATGGGAACTTCGTGTATTATATACTCAATTTTTATGTATTTATTTATTTATTTATTTTGAGATGGAGTTTCACTCTTGTCACCCAGGCTGGAGTGCAATGGCATGATCTTGGCTCACTGCAACCTCTGCCTCCTGGGTTCAAGCGATTCTCCTGCCTCAGCCTCCTGAGTAGCTGGGATTACAGGCACCTGCCACCACACCGGGCTAATTTTTTTGGATTTTTAGTAGAGATGGGGTTTCACCATGTTGGCCAGGCTGGTCTCCAACTCCTGACCTCAGATGATCCGCCTGCCTTGGCCTCCTAAAGTGCTGGGATTATAAGTGTGAGCCACCACGCCCGGCCATATGCTCAGTTTTTATGTCAATTTAAAACTCTCTAAAGAAATATATTAATTGAAAAATAATAATATAGCACCACTCTTTCAGGGAGATCTATGCTTATATTTAACAACCAGGTAAGTTCTAGACATTAGCTTGAAGCATTGTCTATCATTAAACATGAACCAAAATTGACTTTTAAGTAGATATTTACTTTTGTGGTGGTAGCAATATTTACTGACCAGGCAAATTAGAATCCTGACACATTAAAAAATATGGCTTAGTCTCTTCATAGTTTCCTCTTACATATGGGACACTGAATACTCCCCGCAACTGCAATTCTTGAATCAACTTAATTAATGAACTTCCACAGTACCTTCTTGTGGGTACCTCTTCTTCTTTACCCGGGAGCCATGAGGTCTCCTACACTGGTTGGTGTGCACAGCATAGCTTCTTGTGTTCTCTATCAGAGAAGATGCTGGTTAATGCATTGACAATAGATAGGGCTGTTGACATCTTGCTGACAGAAGACCAGAGGGAAAATAGTGATAATCTGTTCTAAGTTTAAACTTATGATCCTTTTTTTACAGGCTTCCAAGCAGAGCCCACTGAATCAAAGTTGGGTTTCAGGAAGATCACGGAGTTCAGTGAGCACTCAACACCTCTATCAGACAGACTGCGTGGGCAGTGCCTTCCTGGAGAGGGGAACACAGCCGGATGACTGTGAGTGCAGGGCTGGTGCAGAGTGGGGGCCCGGATTCAAATTCCACTAAGCCATGTGGACCTGGCAAGCTCATGTCCTCCCTCTGCCCTCAGTTCTCTGCACTGTCATAATGTAATTTTAGCAATACTTTTTAGGCCCTATTTAAGCCCTACTTCTTAGTATCACAGTACAGGGCTAAAAAATCACTAAATACAGGAAAACCTTAGAGAGGACTGGTACTTCAGTAATGTTCTCTAAGTGTTTACTACATGCCAGGAGGAATAAGCTGGACACTTAGCAGTGGCGGAATATGGAGGGGGAACTTGGATGGCTCCGGGGCAGTGGAGCATGCTTTCCTGTTCGGCTTTTCCGTGGGCATGACGCCTTATGGTTTATGGAGAACATCAGCCCTGCAGGGGGTGCAGAGGAGGGGCTGTGGCTGAGATTTTACACTTGAGGGTGCTGACATTCAGAGATGATAAGTGACGAGCAGAACCTCAACCCCGCTGAGTGAAGGACCTGAGATGGGAAATGTATTTGGTTCCCTAGAGAGAGAGATTCCTGAAAAACTGCCACCTCTTCATCACGCCCTGTGCCAGAGACCCAAGAGACCCCTCACTGTCTTTCTCCAGTCCTCCTAGCCCAAGGTGTGTGGGTGGACAAAGGTGGTGCTCTGGAGGAAATGCCTGAGATAAGGACAGGTCCTTAATGATAAAGAATTCTCCTTCCTCTTTCAGATCCTTGACCTCCCAGTATGACAGCTTAAAGGCTGTCATCTCTGTGGCCTGCCTCCCCTTGCCCTTCACCCTGCCAGCTGCCTCTCAGTGACTGTCTCCTCCAGTGACTACACTGAGGGACCAGGGACTGCTTGCCTCCCGAGGCTGCTCAGACCTTCTGACACCGCAAAATGATTGTCAAAAATGGGTCTGCAAAGAGTAACTTCCCTTCCACTGATCAAACCTGAATATGCAAGCTACTGTCAATTAACTGGAAAAGTGGCCGTGTGGGCTGGTGCTTTGGTGATTTAATGAATTAAGTCTGCAAGCCCCACTGCCTCCTTGACTATTGATCAGAGCTGCCTGCAATAAGGTCTGGCTAAGAATGGGCAGTGGCTGCACCAGCTCTGGGTAAAATTTGACCTAAAATGACCAATCTCATTCACTAACCTCACCATAGTCTTATGGGTTCAATGGACCTGTCCAATCCTTTGCTCTGTTCTCTCCATCACCTTCCTGTGTAATTTTCCTCCACCACGCACATAATAGAAACATGGCACAGGGGAGCTAATCGCCTCTTTTATCCCCCACTTCAGGCTCACACATAAGTTTATAGTAAAAGCCTTTTCAAATGACTGCTTTAACTGCTGCTACAGCATGTGTCATCAGTTGAATGGAATCTGTCACGTGACTTTAAGCAACCCTTTGCTGAGAGACAAGATTCAATACTAGGGACAGTATTCTAGTGTACTACATCATTGATTTTATGTTATGAAGATCATCATTTATTGAAAATGTATAAATAATGAAGCCCAGCCTTACTCTTCAACGCTGTGTGTGTAAATCCACTGAGTGTGCTGACCCCCACGCTTGTACCCACCTGCTAACACAGAAAGGGTCCACTCAGAAGGGAGGCACAGCTCCAGCACTGAGGCTGCCCACACCAGCTTCACAAGAGGGTTGCCACAAGGACGACGGATACCCGGATAACAACCAAATGGTAATTTGAGTACTTAATGGTCATGATCCCTAAAGTGTGTAGCTCAGAGGGCTTGTGGTGATAACTCCATCAAGACTCTAAAGCATCTCCCCAATTCTTACTGGACTTGATCCATGTCTTGAGGAGACCCAGCTATGACACGCAGGCACCACGTTGTCCTACTTAGTGCCTCCCTTAGTGTTTCAGAACCTGTGATTTGATCAGAAACATGGGCTTTCTATGTTGGTTTCACACTAAGGACTATGTGACACCTGCAGGAAGATGTCTACATAGCTACCTGGATTATGAGATCATGACGTTCTCTTATGTGAGGGATGGCATTTGGGATCTCTGCAGGTGTGGGTAATTCCAGGCATAGAGGGTGCTGGAACTCCCTTGCATGGTGAATAGTGATCTCTTCACTGGCTGATAAATAGAGGTTGTAGTTCAGGCCTTCAACATTAGCACCGTATGAGGAAACATTTTGACTCTTCACTATGCAGCAAGTGAACCAGAGCACATTTATTTATGTGGCTTAGTTTCTCCATCTGGCATGTGGGCTCAATAAACAAGCTCACAACATATGGGCATGATGATGATGAGGTGTGAACTAATGTAAGTAAAGTATGTGGTCTGATTTGTTAAATTAAGAAAAATGGCACTGAGAGTTGTGCTGGGTAAACACAACATTTTTTTCCTGGGGGAAACACAGATAGACACACATTCACAAGCAAATCATGCAGACTTGCACACAGACCACCTCACCCCACCCCCGCCCTAATACACACATACCCACACACAACCTAATGTGAACATGTTCCCAGAAACTATACATAGATAAAAAGAGTATGTCACCAGGAAAACCAGTTTCTTTTACTATACCCTACATCCTCATTCCCACCAGATGTCTTGGATCATGGAGGCTCTCCAGACAAAAGCCAGCAGTTAAGCTCCAGATTTCCTGTAGAATCCTTTTCTAACAACCAGTGAGTGATTCCAGAATACGTACCATTGAATGTGCTCCCTGAAGTCACCTGTAATTAGAGAAGGAAAACACTCTGAGAATCAGGCTATGCTATGGATGGCTCACACAGGTCTTTTGTTCACTTGGAAACTCTGGGTAACCAAGATTGGAAATAAGGTTCAAGTCAAAAGCCCCAACTCTAGAGTAGAGTTCCCTTAGGAAAGCACAGGAGCTTTTCTTGAAGAATGTTTCTGTCTAGGTAATTTTTGAGTAGCAATTGCAGAATTCTTATCTAAAGTGGAAAGCTTGTTCCTGAAGAAAACATCCCTTAACACCCAGTGTACTATCTGACACTGCCAATTTTGCACGTCCTCTGGAATCAGGTGTCAGTTGGTAAAATACACCTCCTCCATCCCCAAGGAAATATTATCTAACACCTATAATGTAGTGGATAATTTTCCCATAGCTGATATCAACTGAAAAATAAAGGATCCAAGAAAACAACATTTACATCTTAGGCAAAGACAGGCTACTTTACCTTGGTAGTAGAGTAGGGCTTCCTTTTCACACGCTTTTTGGAAGGCTTCTTCGAGTCACCTAGGGGATGTGGAGGGACACAGCATGGCTGTCAGTTCATTGGCAGTGCTACTCATGAATGACTCAGGGACTGGAACTTAGGGGCGTGCCTGGTTAACAAGCATGGAATGAGCTTCTCCTGGACCATCTTCTTCACGGACCAAGGAAGGCAAAGAAAGAGCAGCAAGGAAATGAGAGTAGAGCCCTTGGCTTTCCAGGTAATGGCAAATGAAAGCAACGTGAAATAATCAACTCCAAATGAACAAATGCTAAAATACATGCTAGGATTCAACCACAGCATCCTGTCACTTCTTCAGACCCTTTAAAAGCCCAGCAGGACTGCCACTACCTTCTTGACATCTACCAAGTCCCTTTCAACCTCCACAGACCCACATACACTGCTACTGCATTTATCATGGAGGGTATAGGGTTCTGCCTCGTTTATGTGTGAATTTTTTAAAAACTAGATTTAATACCATGCACCAGCATTAATTGTATTTATTTCTTTTCTTGGTTATGAAAATAATCAGTCAGGCATAGTGGCTCACACCTGTAATCCCAGCAGTTTGGAAGGTGGAGGTGGGTGGATCATTTGAGGTCAGGAGTTCGAGACCAGCCTGACCAACATGGTAAAACCCCATCATTGAAGATAAATGTTTTATATCCATGGTTAACAGATGAGATGACCATGAAATGAACACCAGTGTACTGGGTGGAGCAGCATATCTATTCAGTCTTCGGCACTAAAACCTGTGAAACAATATCATCTTGCCTTATTTACTAACAAATACAAGTGCCTCTAAACTTAGTTTCCAAGTCATGGAACTGATGAGCACTTAGCTCCTGCAGAGAGCTCTGGATGATGGGTCGGGAGAACAAAGACACAATACATCAAAACGGCATTAACAAGTAAACAGGTTTTCAAAGCCCTCTACATGCAAATTTACACAATTATCCTTTTAATTTTTATCTTCATATATATGTACATAATCTACTTGCTTCTGAGTATAAATAAAACTGTATGTTCTTAGTTAATAGTCTCTATAAATTCACTCTATTTATCTTTCTGAGTTGAAATACTGCATCTCATTGGATAACAAAAAAAAATTTGACTAAGATTACACTGGAAAGGTGAGTAGGTTGGGTGATTGACTGTGATTGAGAATTCCATGATTCTGGATAACTTCCAAAGCATAAAAATAAATGTGTGTTTTATTTCACACGTAGACAATACACATACTTATTACTTTAAAAAATTAATATGTGCATGGAAGTGACTTACTACAAATAAAGTAAATACACATTTCACAAAAAAAGAAGAGAGGAAGGGAAAAACATGTTAAAAACAAAGAGAGGTACATTTTATTGTGTGAAAAGCCTCCAACGGATCCATACTACTGCGGCTTTGTTCCAAAGTTTTGGAAAGTAATGATTTCGTAGGTTCTTAATTGGGTTAAAAACTGCATTAAAATAGACTCTGCCATATTCTCCCCTGGGGAATAACTTAATCTGTGGGGTGGGGAATGGAACGTTGAAGGATGCAGGATGTAAAAGGAAATTATATATATATTATATATATTATATATTATATGATATATATAATATATATATTATTTATTATATATATTATATGTTATATATAATATATATAAATAATATATAATGTACATAATATATAATATATAATATATATTATATATTATATATTATATATTATATACATAATATATAATATATAATATATAATATATATTATATATTATATAATATATATTATCTATAATATATATAATATATTATATATATTATATATATTATATTTAATATATTATATATATTATATATAATATATTATATATAATATATATAATATATTATATATAATATATTAAATACATTATATATATATTTTATATATATATATTTTTTATATATATATATATAATATATATATATAATTTGGGAATTTGGGAATAAACTGAATCCCAATTCACACTGGGACTACACCAGCTGCCACCATGCCTGGCTAATTTTTTGTATTTGTAGTAGAGACAGGGTTTCACTGTATTGGCCAGGATGGTCTTGATCTCCTCACCTTGTGATCCTCTTGCCTTGGCCTCCCAAAGTGCTGGGATTATAGGCCTGAGTCAAGATACATATTTTTTAAATGAAGAAAAATTTGAAAGATACTCTGCTTGGTACAATAATCAAATATATAAATTGAGGAATAAAACATAATCATGAAACATATTTATAACTGCATATGGAAAATACAGAGGCTAATTTTTTAAATAACATATTTTGAAAGCATTAACTAGTAATTTGAAAAGATCGCATTTGACAGGCCAGTATGAACATACCTTGAATGCAGCCACACAGGTTCCCCATAAGAAAAATCAAAATCAGGGAAAATGAAACCTCAATGGTTCAATCTGCTCTGACCTTTGAAAAACTCAGCACAGATAGTGGCACTTAGGACCAAGGGCAGGAGATCCCTAATCCCATCACCATGGCGATAGGGCATAAACATTCCAGGGTGAAGGCACAATCCACACTGTGAGGTCCAACTGCTGCCATGCAGACAGGTGGGCTTTTACAAGTACAGGAAGGTCATCAAAGGCTCAGTGTTTTGTTTCAAAAACTGAATCCCAAGCCCACACATTATTATGCTGGCTTCTTAAAATAAGTTATGAGATGGGAAATAGGGCACCCACAAATATATATATATATAATTATATATAATATAATATGTAGTATATATATAATATATTTAATATATTATATATATATATATATATATATATATATATATATATATATATATATATAAAATTTGGGAATTTGGGAATAAACTGAATCCCAATTCACACTGGGACTACACCAGCTGCCACCATGCCTGGCTAATTTTTTGTATTTGTAGTAGAGGCAGGGTTTCACTGTATTGGCCAGGGTGCTCTTGATCTCCTCTCCTTGTGATCCTCTTGCCTTGGCCTCCCAAAGTGCTGGGATTACAGGCCTGAGTCAAGATACATATTTTTTAAATGAAGAAAAATTTCAAAGATACTCTGCTTGGTACAATAATCAAATATATAAATTGAGGAATAAAACATAATCATGAAACATATTTATAACTGCATATGGAAAATACAGAGGCTAATTTTTTAAATAACACATTTTGAAAGCATTAACTAGTAATTTGAAAAGATCGCATTTGACAGGCCAGTATGAACATACCTTGAATGCAGCCACACAGGTTCCCCATAAGAAAAATCAAAATCAGGGAAAATGAAACCACAATGGTTCAATCTGCTCTGACCTTTGTAAAACTCAGCACAGATACTGGCACTTAGGACCAAGGGCAGGAGATCCCTAATCCCATCACCATGGCGATAGGGCATAAACATTCCAGGGTGAAGGCACAATCCACACTGTGAGGTCCAACTGCTGCCATGCAGACAGGAGGGCTTTTACAAGTACAGGAAGGTCATCAAAGGCTCAGTGTTTTCTTTCAAAAACTGAATCCCAAGCCCACACATTATTATGCTGGCTTCTTAAAATAAGTTATGAGATGGGAAATAGGGCACCCACAAATATATATATATATAATTATATACAATATAATATATATATAATTATATACAATATAATATATATAATATATATAACATATACATAATTTCCTTTTACATCCTGCATCCTTATATTATATATAATATTATGTATAATATAATATGTATTATTATATATAATATAATATATATGAATATATATAATTATATAATATAATATGTAATTCTATATAATTCTATATAATATAATATATATTATATATAAATATATATAATATACTATATTATATATAAATATATATAATATACTATATTATATATAAGTATACATAATATATTATATATACGTATATATAATATAATATGTAATATAATATAATAATATATTATATTATATTATATATTATAATATAATATAATATATAATATAATATAATATATAATATTATATATAATATAATATATAATATAAAATAATATTATATATAATATATAAAATAATAATACTTTAAATTAATTATTATTAATTAATATTAATTAATATTAAAAATAATATAAAATATAATTATTACATATAATATAATCTATAATTATTATATATAATATAATATACAATTATATATAATATTATATATAATAAAATATATATAATTATGTGTATTTATTACATATAATATAATACATAAATTATATATAATTATTACATATAATATAATATATAATTATATATAATTATTACATATGATATAATATATAATTATATATAATTATTACATATAATATAATATATATAATTATATATAATTATATAATTATATATACAAGATAATAATATATAATATATAATATATATTACATAATATTTTATATAATATATTATACTATATATTATATAATATTTTATATAAAATATTATATATTATACATAATATAATATTTTATACAATATAATATATAATATATATTATATTATCATATGTTATACAATATGTTATAGTATAATATATATTATAATCTAATATATTTTATATTATTATATAATATTATATTATATATAACATTATATAGTATTATATATTTTATAATAATAATATAATATATAATATATTATTATATATTATATATAATATATAATATATTATGACATATTATATATAATATATAATATATTATGACATATTATATATAATATATAATATATTATGATATATATTATATATAATATATAATATATTGTGATATATATAATATATCATATAATATATTATGATATATATAATATATATAATATAATATAATTATATGTAATATAATATTATATATCTTATATATCATATATTATATATTTTATATCATATACTATATATTATATATCATATATTACATATAATGTATGTCACATATTATATGTAATATATGTCACATATATGTAATATATGTCATATATTATATGTAATATATATCATATATTATATATGTCATTTATTCTGTAATATGTATCATACATATTACATAATATGTATTATGGTGTCTGGTGGTCCCAGGACACAGACTGATGTCACTCAGCCTCACATGACACTCTGTCCTCACCACACTTGGGGTCCTGGGAGTCGTAGCACCAGGCACCTATAGAGACAGTGGGCAGGAGGCTGAGCTGAGAGACCAGTCATCTGGGCCCTCTCCAAGCCCCATCCCATCAACTGGGGTGGAAGAATGAAGTAGGCCAGGGGCTTAGGCCAGGGGAGGCCAGTGAAGAACCTTCTCTCCTGTCACCCCTACCCCAGTATTTTCTCTCCCCAGTCCCTCCCCACTCCCAGTGGCAAGACCTAAGGGGTGGTGGAGCATGGCAAGAGGGTAGATTGGAGACCAGACGGGAAGAGTCCTGGTGCTCACTCTCAGAGTCTGCACCACACCAGCTGCACTGCAAGGCGAGCATGATGCCAGGGGCGTGCGTGGCTCAGTGGCAGCCGCAGCTAGGAAGGACTAGAAAGTGGCTAGACCGCGGAGCCAGGATGCTGGCCTGGCTGCTACATATTTATTCATTAGCTAGCTGGGCTAGGGGCGTGGCTATTGAGGAGAGGATGGGAGGGGTCGGTGCCCAGGCAGGGCCACCAGGAAGAGCGGGAGCGCTCCAAACTCACCCAGGTGTGCTCTGGTCCCAGGGCTGCACTGATGCCAGCAACAATCGCTGAGGTTAATCCTGCAGGGGAGGGGTGACCTATTATTATCCCCACTTACAGTCCAGGAAACAGAGGCTGGGGACCAGAATGACACACCAAAGCCACCAGCAAGAAAGGTCAAATAGTGAGGGCACCTTGAACCCCAGCGCCCATGACTTTCGGGGCAAGGATGGGAGGAAGGTGTAGGATGTCTCTTGCCCCGCTGTGGGCCTGGAACTGCCACCCCATCCCAAGACCACAGCCTCCCTCCTGCCCAGGCCCCCCTGCTGATCCAGGCCAAGATGGAGCCCTGCAGGAGGTCAGAGGAGGGGACTTCTTTGCACCCTGCGCCTCTTTCCAATCGCCAGAGGGCAGGGCCCTACCCACATTGGGGATGGGAAGTCAAATGCAGAAGTTAGGTGAAGTCAGTTCTTGGATACTCCTGTACTGTCACCCTGGTCTTATCTCATGCCTTAGCCCAAGCTGTGCACACAATGGGGTCCTAGGTCCCCCTCACCTCCCAGATTCCACCTTCCCAGGGATGGGACCCCCTAGAACCCTCGGGGGCCTGGGCAGTGGCCTTGCTGGCTCTTGCCTTCCTAGGAGCTGAGCAGGAGCTCCACTCTCAGCAGGGCAGTTCACTGCAGCCTCTGCTTCCTCAGCTCAAGCCATCCTCCCACCTCAGCCTCCTGAGTAGCTGGGAATGCAGACACACACCACCACGCCTGGCAAATTTTTGTATTTTTAGTAGAAACAGGGTTTCACCATGTTGCCCAGGCTGGTCTCGAATGCCTGAGCTCAAGCGATCTACCCACCTCGGGCTCCCAAAGTGTGGGAGCCAAGATGGGAACCCAAGCATACGGCCCCAATGCTGAGGCTCTGAACTACTGACCTGCCCTCAGCACTCAGCCTTGGGATCATGAGTCACTGTGCAAGGGAGTTCCAACATCTGCATGTATGTCTGGAATGATCTGAGCCTGCAGAGTTCCTACACACTGGCCATATTATAGGGTGGTGTCCGTGGTCACACAGCTCAGGGCAGGTATTTATTAGTACATGAATAGCTTAGCTGTGTCATAGTCTTTATGTGAAAGGCACAAAAAAAGGCACTTTGGCAGGCTCAAAGTGTGGGGATTATAGGTGTCAGCCACCGTGCCTAGCCCACTGGATGACTTATGATATCATATGTGACATTGTGACATCATGTGAGTCAGGGATGTACCCCGTTCTCAGCTGCTATATGCTATGTTACACTGACAGAATGGGAATGAAGAATGTGTCCCACTCTCTCAGCTGTTGTATTATATCATACAAGGTGCAGTGACTAAGTGTGTCAGCTGTGTCCTCATCCTACATAGCATATGAGAGTGTGTGACGGGAGATAGGATGCAGACCTGAGAAGCATTAAACACCTAGGCAATAAAGGTGCCAGCATCAGCTGAGAGCGCAGGTAGACCTCAGTCACATTTGTTACTGTGTAACTAAAAATACAAAATTAGCTGGGTGAGGTGGTGCACGCCTGTGGTCCCCACTGCTCAGGCACCTGAGGCAGGAGAATTGCTTGAACCCAGGAGGCAGAGGTTGCAGTGAGCTGAGATTGCACCACTGCACTCCAGCCTTGGGGACAGAGTGAGACTGTATCTCAAAAAAATAAAATAAAATAATCTAGGACAACCAAGAGAAGGACTCAGGCTCACCTTACTCTATGTCACATGTGATATATAACACTTGAGGGGGACACACACTTGTCACTTTGTATCACTATGTCCTATATGATAGCCAATGATAACCCAAGAGGGGGAGGCAGCCTTGTTCACACCATGTCACTTATGATATTATATGACATCAAGGAGCCCAGACCTCAGTTGCATTATGTCACTATGGCACATACAGTATCATGCAACAACTGACAGAAGGGTTGCGGGCCTGATTCACAGTGTATGTGAGTCACAAATGTCACTTATGACACCATACAGCAGGTGAGAGGGGATAGTCATTACTCACCTCGGGTCACATTGTCACACATGATACCATATGATAGCAGAGGGGGATGCAGAACTGAGTTGTATTATGTCGCTATGTAACCTGTGATAGATGATAGCTGATGCGGGTGAAGACCAAAGTTACATTTTGTACCTACATTATATGAAATATACAACATGCACGAGGGAGATGCAGACACAAATCACACTGTGTGCTGTATCCCATATATGTGTTTAATTTCTGTGTTTAAGAGAGCTGGGTTCATGAATGAACTTAGTCACTGCACCTTGTATGATATAATACAACAGCTGAGAGAGTGGGACACATTCCTCATTCCCATTCTGTCAGTGATTGACCACACCTTGTGTTAACTGTATGAGCCACTGTGTTTGGCCGTGTATAGCGCACGTGGCACGTTGTTCACTGATACATATTTGCTCCGTACTGAAGTGAGGCAGATGCATGAGTGATTGAGAATAATGCTACCTTGGTGAAGCATTCCATTTAGAAGCATGAGGTTCAGGTACTACCATCTTCTGTGATACATATTTAAATGTTAAGTTTAACAGTTAGGTCTACCATGAGTGAATGAGCCTTGCATTATCTTTGAGAATCGATGTGTTTAGCAGGGTGTGGCTCATCTAAGATAGCCTTCTTTAATGCATGTTCACTATCTGTGTTTATTAGAAATAGGTTTGTGAATGACTTAGCATAGTGTTTTCCCTATGAAACCCTGTTTATTTATTTATTTATTTATTTTGAGATGGAGTTTTGCTCTTGCAACCCAGGCTGGAGTGCAATGGTGTGGTCTTGGATCACTGCAACCTCTGCCTCCCAGGTTCAAGCGATTCTCCTGCCTCAGCCTCCTGAGTAGCTGGGATTACGGGCGTCTGCCACCACACCCAGCTAATTTTTGTATTTTTAGTAGAGACGGGGTTTCACCATGTTGGCCAGGCTGGTCTCGAGCTCCTGACCTCAGGTGATCCTCCTGCCTCAGCTTCCCAAAGTGCTGGAATTACAGGCGTGAGCCACCACACCCGGCCAAAACCCTGTTTTAAGAAGTGTGTGGTGCAGGTACTACATTCTTTGTTGTTCCAAGTTCAAACCCTGTGTTTAACAGAGATAGGTGCAAGATTGCCTAGGTGTAGCGTAGACTCTTGGAAATACTGTGGTTAGCATTCTGTGTTTTCTGTAGCATAGTTTCAGTGATGCCTGTTTAGATAGTTTATCAGATCTAGGTACTAGTGTTATGTCAGCGAAACACTGTTTAGCTGCACGCGGTGCATGTAATACTTTGTTCATTGATATTTGTTTAAATCAATCAGTGTTTACCAGAACTA
Organism: Homo sapiens; assembly: GCF_000001405.40. Classification (NCBI taxonomy): domain Eukaryota; kingdom Metazoa; phylum Chordata; class Mammalia; order Primates; family Hominidae; genus Homo; species Homo sapiens. Next base: position 134,241 of record NT_187386.1, read on the forward strand.
GATATGTGAGTTACTGAGAATAGCCTAATCTCTGAAAATGTTTTCCAGCCTATGGTGCATGTAATATACTCTTCTATGGTACCTCTTTCCAATGTTTTTATTGTGGCAAAATATACATAACAGATTATACCATTTTTAAGTGTAGAATTTAGTGGTAGTAAGTATAGAGAGAACCTTAAAAGCAGCAAGAGAAAAGTGACTTCTCATGTGCAAGGGAGCCTCTAGAAGATTATCAGTGGATATTTCAGCAGAAACCCTGCAGGCCAGAAGGTGGTGGGATGATACATTGAAAGTACTGAAAGAGTAAAGCCTGCCAACTGAGAATACTATATTTGACAAAACTGTCCTTCAAAAGTGAAGGAGAAATTAAGACATTCCCAGATAAATAAAAGCTGAAGGAGTTTATTACCACTAGACCTGACCAATAAGAAATAATAAAGGGGCCGGGCACAGTGGCTCATGTCTGTAATCCCAGCACTTTCGGGAGCCGAGGCAGGTGGATCACCTGAGGTCAGGTGTTCAAGACCAGCTTGACCAACATGGCGAAACCCCATCTCTAATAAAAATACAAAAATTAGCTGGGTGTGGTGGCACGCACCTGTAATCCTAGCTACTCAGGAGGCTGAGGCAGGAGAATCACTTGTACCCGGGAGGTAGAGGTTGCAGTGAGCTGAGATCACACCACTGCACTCCAGTCTGGGCAACGGAGCGAGACTTCATCTCAAAAAAAAAAAAAGAAACAATAAAGGGAGTCCTTCAAGTTGATATGAAGGGATACTAGACAGTTGCTCAGCCTGATGAAAATATAAAGGTAAATACATAAAGATTAAAACCTGTATTATTGTAATTTTTGCTAATAACTCAATTTTTAATACTTTAATGGAATTTAAAGGACAAAAGCATAATAATTATAAATCTATGTTAATGGATACAAAGTATATAAAGTTTAATTTGTGACATCAGTAACTTAATAGTGGGGCAAAGATGTAAAGAGTAGAGGTTTTGTATGTGATTGAAGTTATCTGTTTAAAATAATAAGATAACTTTAAGATGTTCCATGTAATTCCCATAGTAACCACAAAGAAAATACCTACAGAATATATGCAAAAGGAAATGAGAAGGAAATCAGAGCATAGCACTACAAAAAATCAACTATAACACAAAGGAAGACAATAAGGGAGGAAAGAAGGACAAAAAGGCTCTAAACATACAGAAAACAATGACCAAAATGGTGGTAGTAAGTCCTTCCTAATCAATAATTTCATTAAATGTGCATAGGTTAAACTCCCAATAAAAAGACATAAATTGGCTGATTGGATTTAAAAAAACGGGATTCAACTATATATGCTGTCTACAAGAGACTCATTTGAAATCCAATACAAATGGGTTGAAAAATGAGAGAATGGAGAATATTCCGTGCAAAAAGTAACCAAAACAGATCAGGAATGGCTGTACAAGTTATGGCTGTACAAGTTGTTGGGGTTTATGTTACTGAAGAATGAACAGAGATGAGTAAGTGGAGGTGTTATGTAAAGGCATACTGTACTCAAAATCTGAAGACCTGCAGCAGATTTAAATTCCAGCTCTTATTATAACTTTTTAAAAGATTGTGAAAATATCAAAATATAGATGAATCAAGTTTTAATATACTGTATGATGGGTGGATGAGGCTGTCCATTGTACCATTTGTTTGAATTCTCAGGCATGGTTTGGCAGTGCAAGAACTCTGTAACGTTAACAAATTCAATAAAAAGTAAATATATGGAAAAAAAAGTATAGACAAAATAGGTTTTAAGTAAAAAACTATTACAAGAGAGGGTTCTGGGAAGAAAGTGGAGTAGGAAGCACTGGGAATTCATCTCCCCACCTAGAAAATAATCACACTGGCAGAATCTGCCTGATATAACTATTTTGGAACTCTAGACTCTATCAAAGGAGGCTTGTAACCTCCAAATGAAGGCTTAAACTATAATTTTTACTTAATTTTGGTCAATTTCAGCTCTTAGCTCAGCAGTGGCTACCCAATCCCCATGCCCCAGCTTCACGGCAAGAAGCTTTGCATGTGTTCCTGAAGCAGCTTGTACCAAGCTTGTGGGAACAATCATGGGCAATAAGCACTCTGTCCTCCAAGTGTTAGCATCTGCGTTCTGGTTGTTGATTGCTACTTTTGATTATGGAAGGGCAAACACAGAGGCCGGCAGCCATTATTGCTCACAACTCCCCACTCCACTGCTGCAAGCCCTTACCAGACTGAAGCAACTTCTAGGAGATAGAAAAGGCCAGAACCCCATTTCCCTTCCCCTTCGTTGTTCTCTTTTCCTTTTTTGGGAGCCAAACATTAAAGACTAGGACACTCAAAAGCAATGGCATACCCAGAGGAAATTAAAGTTACCACACATCCTTGGAGAGAGGAGTGTGTGCCCAGGGAAAGGAGCAGCTTCAGACCTGAGAAGACCTCAAGCTTACAACTCAGGTTGATCCTCAGCATGGAGACAACCTACAACAATGTAAAACATAACAAAACCCCAAAACAGCAAACCCTGAGGAAGAGGAGAGTCTCATCTCCAGAGTTACTGCATTATTATATTCAAGTGTCCAGTTTTCAATACAAAACACAAGGCATACAAAAAACAAGAAAATATGGTATTTCAAAGGAAAAACAACAACAGAAACTGTTCCAGAGAAAGACCAGATGGTAACCTACTACACAAATACTTTAAAACAACTTTCTTAAAGATGGTCAAAGAACTGAAGGAAGATGTGGAGAAAGTCAGTAAAATTATGTGTAAACAAAATGGGAATATCAATAAAGAGATAGAAAACCTAAAAAGAAAAAAAATAAATAAATTCTGGAACTAAAAGTGTAGTGATTGAAATAAAAGTTCACCAGAGGGATTCAAAAGCAGATTTGAGCAACAGAAGAAAGATTCAGTGAATTTGAAGATGGGACACTTGAAATGATCAAGTCAGAGGAACAGAAATAAAGACGATTGTTGAATAGCAAGCAGACATTGTGGAAGTCCCAAAAGAAGAGAGGGAAAGGGGCAGAGAGATCATTTGAAGAAATAATGGCTGAGGCTGAACACGGTGACTCACACCTGTAATCCCAGCACTTTGGGAGGCCAAGGTGGGTGGATCACAAGGTTAGGAGTTCGAGACCAGCCTGGCCAATATGGTGAAACCCCGTCTCTACTAAAAACACAAAATTAGCCAGGTGTGGTGGTGCATGCCTGTAATCCCAGCTACTTGGGAGGATGAGGCAAGAGAATCGCTTGAACCCAGGAGGCAGATGTTGCAGTGAGCCGAGATTGTGCCATTGCCCTCCAGCCTGGGCAACAAGAGTGAAACTCCGTTTAAAAAAAAAAAAATTAGCTGGGCGTGGTGGCACGTACCTGTAGTCCCAGCTACTCAGGAGGCTGAGGCAGAAGAATCGCTTGAATCCAGGAGGCAGAGGTTGCAGTGAGCCAAGATCACACCACTGTACTCTAGCCTGGGCAACAGAGCGAGACTCTGTCTCAAAAAAGAAAAAAAAAAAGCTGAACACTTCCCAAATTTGATGAAAGACATGAAAATAAATATCCAGAAAACTCAATGGACTCCAAGTAGGATGAAAAAAAAAAGACTCATACTGAGACATTATAATTAGCCAGTAGGGCCTCTTGAAAGCACCAAGAGAGAAGCAACTAGTCACATGCTAGGAATATATAATAGGATTATAAGTAGATTTCTCATCAGACACTTTGGAGAACAGAAGACAATGGGATGACATATGTAAAGGGCTAAAAGAAAAACAACCACTACCTCTCAACCAAGAATCCTATATCCAGCAAAACTGTCCTTCAAAAGTGAGGAAGAAATTGGGAAATCCCCAAATAAACCAAAGTTGAGAAGTTTGCTACCATTAGACCTGCCCTGCAAGAAATCTTAAAGAGAATCATGCAGGTTGAAAAGAAAGAACACTAGATAGTAACTCAAAGCCATATGAAGAAATAAAGATGCCAGTAAAAGTAAATATATGGGAAAATATTAAATCTAGTATTATCGTAACTTTGGTTTAAAACTCCATGTTTTGCTTTCTACATAATTTAATAGACAAATGCATTAAAAACAATTATTAGTTTATGTTTATGGACACACAATGTACAAAAATGTAATTTTGTGACATTGATAACTGAAAGAGGAGTGGCAAAACTGTGAGGAGAGTTTTTGCATATTATTGAAATATAGCTGGTATGAATTCAAGTTAGAGTGCTATAACTTTAGAATGTTAAGTGTAATCCCTATGGTAACCACAAATAAAACATTATATAACATAAAAAAGTAAATGAGAAGGGAATTAAAACACTTCGCTACAAAAAATCAACTAAATACAAATGAGATCATGCAGGAAATGGACAAAAATGCTGTAAGGCATATAGAAAATGTATAGCAAAATGCCAGAAGTAAGTCCCCCCTTATCAGTAATTACTTTATTACTTTTTAAACCATTTTGTTGAGGAATGATTTACATAAAAACTGTACATATTTAACGTACACATCTTGATAAATTTACACCATAAAACCATTATCATCAAGCCTATAAACATATCCATCACCTTTTAAAATTTCCTTCTGCCTCTTTATTATTATTATTGTATAAAAAAATGTTTTTAATGGCCAGGTGCGGTGGCTCACGCCTGTAATCCCAGCACTTTGGGAGGCTGAGGCAGGCGGATCACCTGAGATCAGGAGTTGGAGAGCAGCCTGGCTAAGATGGCAAAACCCCATCTCTACTATAAATACAAAAATTAGCTGGGCGTGGTGGCGGGTACCTATAATCTGAGCAAAGTACTGGGAGGCTGAGGTGGGAGAATCTCTTGAACCTGGGAGGTGGAGGTTGCAGTGAGCCGAGACAGCACCATTGCACTCCAGCCTTAGCAACAAGAGTGAAACTCTGTCTAAAAAAAAATAATAATAATAAAAGTTTTTAATTAAACAATTTAAGAATATAGTATCATTTTCTGTGGGTACTATGCTGTATAGCTCTCCAGAACTTACTTATCTTGCATAACTGAAATTTGTACACTTTAACCATCAACTTCCCATTTCCTTCTCTTCCCCAGCTCCCAGCAACCACCATTCTGTTCTCTTCTTCTGAGTTTGACGTCTTTAGGTTCCACACATAAGTGAGATTGTACAATATTTCACTTTCTGTGTCTGGCTTATTTTACTTAACATAATGCCCTCCAGTCCATCTATGCATAGAAATGCAACTGATTTTTGGATGTTGACTCTGTATCTTGCTACTTTATTGAATTTATTACTTCTAACAGTCTTTTAGTGAAGTCTTTACAGTTTTCTATACATAAAAATATGTCATCTATGGAGACCATTTTACTTCCATTCTTATTTCTTTACTTGCTTAATTGTTCTGGCTAGGACTTCCAGTCCTATTTTGAGGAGAAATGGTGAGAGTAGGAATTCTTGTCTTGTTCTTCATCTTCGAGGAAAAACGTTCAGTCTTTCACTGTTGAGTATGTTACATGTGGTCTTCATTATGTTGAGGTACATTCCTTCTGCACCTAATTTGCTCAGTTTGTTGTTTTTTTTAATCATGAAAGGATGTTGAATTTTATCAAGTGCTTTTTAATAATAAAAATAAAGGATTTTTATCGTTTATTGTGTTGATGTGGTGTATCACATTTAGTGACTCTTGTATGTTAAAGCATCCTTGCATGCCAGAGATAAATCCCACTTGATCCTGGTGAATAATTCTTTTTTTGTTTTTTATTTATTTATTATTTATTTATTTTTTTGAGATGGAGTCTCGCTCTGTCATCCAGGCCTGAGTGCAGTGGCGCGATCTCGGCTCACTACAAGCTCCGCCTCCCAGGTTCACGCCATTCTCCTGCCTCAGCCTCCCTAGTAGCTGGGACCACAGGCACCCGCCAGCATGCTCAGCTAATTTTTTTTTTTTTTGGATTTTTGGTAGAGACTGGATTCATGGTGAATAATTCTTTTAATGCACTGTTGAATTTGGTTTACTAGTATTTCATTGAGGATTTTTGCATCTATGTTAACCAGGGATATTGACCTATAGTTTTCTTATTTTGTAGTGTTCTTATCTGGCATTGATATCAGGATAATGCTGGCCTCTTAGAATGAGTTTCAACGTGTTCCCTTTTCTTCAATTTTTTTGGAAGAGTTTGAGAAGGATTGTTATTAATTCTTTAAATGTTTGTTGAAATTGACCAGTAAAACCATTTGGTCCTGGGATTTTCTTTGTTGGGAGATTTTTCATTACTGGTTTAATCTCTACTTATTTTTTCTGTTTTTTTTTTTTTTTTAATTATACTTTAAGTTCTGGGGTAGCCGTGCAGAAAGTGCAGGTTTATTACTTAGGTATACATGTGCCATGGTGGTTTGCTGCACCCATCAACCCATCATTTACATTAGGTACTTCTCCTAATACTATCTCTCCCCTTGCCCCCATCCCCCAACAGGCCTCAGTGTGTGATATTCCCTGCCCTGTGTCCAAGTGTTCTCATTGTTCAACTCCCACTTATGAGTGAGAACATGCGGAGTTTGGTTTTCCGTTCCTGTAGTTTTCAGATGTGCTCTGGCCTCCAAGGACCATGAAGCCAGGCGGTGGTGGGGGGGTGTCCTCTGTATAAAAAGTGCTGTCCCAGGAACTTCCTGACGGACACTTTGGGGCATGTGAGCGATTCCTGGGGAGGGCACCTTGGCCTTCCTAAGGCTACCCCTGCAGCCAGCGCTGGCCATTCTCACCAGCAACCAACCAAAAAACATCAGAGTCCCTGTAAACCTGGTTGTGATGATAAAAACCAAATGTTTTCTAATCTAAGACTTGTATGCAGAACACAGAAAACTGCAGTTAAGGAACACCCTACAAAATTGACCAACAGTATTTTCCAAAAACATTTTTCATCACTTTAAATAATGTACAAAATCTACAAAAATCATATTTACCAGGACACATCTGTTAAATAAAAGCATTGTTTCGTGTTGGTATACATATATACAAGACTATGTATAACAGACTGTTTCCCCTCCCTGCAACCACAGAACCATCACACACAGGCACAGATACACGTCGGCTATGCCGCTTTCCACGAATGCATGGAACCCAGGACGCGAACCCACAGCTCGAGGTCTTATACCTTCACTACTGAGCTGCCGCCACTGCAGCAGCAACACCTCTGCGGAGGTGTTGCTGAAGTCACTGGTGTCCCTGCCCAAGGTGTCCTGGTCCTGGTCAACTCTACTGATTGACCCTTCGTGGATACCTCAGGTCTAAAATCCTTTCCTCCGAGCCAGAGCTCTTCCTGTTGTGCAAACTCAGCCCCGTCTGTACCTTCCTGCTTGGCCGGTGATCGCAGTCCTTCTTCGCCAGCAAGTGTGGGCTTCCAAAGACAAGGCTGGGCCTGGCCTGGGACTCCCTGAAGGCCGAGAAGGACAGGCCCTGCAGAGGCAGCCCCAGGTAGGGGCTGAAGAGGCCGGTCTCCCTGCCCCGCCAGGAGACACCCTTTCCAAAGTGGAAGAGCTGGGTGGACAGCAGCGGGGAGAAGCCCGCAAGGGGCAGGCTGGGCAGGCCCCGGGCGGGGCCCTCGGACCCCTTGTCTCTCTCTCCCAATGCCGCCCCCTCCACGCCGCATCTCTACCTTTGGAGCGCAGTGCCCATGGGCTGGGCAGCCGACTGTGGTGGGCAAAGTCACTCCAGGGCGGGGCGCGGTTGGCCTGGGCTCCAGCATCCCTCTCAGCTCCCGGGCTGGGGGTCAGGAAGCTCCGGTTCCTGCAGTCCACGTGAAAGGTCCCCCTGGCTCCTCCTGCCTCGGTGCCCGCTGTGGCACAGCTGGGCCGCTGACCAAAAGCACTTTTGGCAGCAGGCTCAGCCCCTCGTGGGCTCTGGTCTTTGTAAACGTAAACATTTCTCTTGCTCACTGAGAGACCTTGGCGGAGACACTGCCGCTGGTCCTCCTGGGTGGCGCATGATCCCCTCCGCCGGATCAGTGGGGAGCCCCTTCCCACCCTGGCTGAGCAGGCACGCTGCGCCCTGTGCTCCTGCGCTCCCTGCGCCTCGATGCCCTTTAGCCAAATGTGGGACCCCCCGGCCCTCTGGCTCCGTGTGCACATGCCAGGCAGTGGGGCCGGCTCCTTCCTGCAAGGTACCTCTGGCCTGGCTGGGCCCCCTGTCCCGAGAGCGGTGGGGCCCTCTGCCTGAACTTCTGAACTGCTCACCGACTCCTTGGCCTTTTCCACCAAAAACTTCCTAATCTCCAGTTCGATGCTATCGTCGCTGTCCACTGAACTGCTGTTGTCAGACAAGGAGCCAGGGCTGGGAGCTGGGCCCTGGGACTCTCTGGGGAATAGATTCTCTTCGGAGGCGGAGGCAGAAGCGGGTCTCCTCACCAGGAAGGCCGAGGCTTCGTCCTCTCGGCCCTGCTGCCAAAGACACTGGGGGGTTTCTTCCTGGAGCCCTCGCAGCTGTCTCTCTTGGACTTAGGCAGCTCTTCAGCACCTGCAGGTGCCTGTTTTTCCACTCTCTCAGGAGCCTGCCCAGCTGCTCCTGGAAGTGCGTCTGGGAGGTGCTGAACCTGACCTTCTTCCTGCACACAGCCCTGGGCTCCCTGGACCTCTTCTTGAGCTTTCACTTGGACCTTAACAAGTCCTTGATGGCTGTGTCCAGGTCCTTGTCACTGTCCAGGGAACTGCTTTTGTCTTCGGAGCTCTTCTTCTTGTCTAGGTGCCTTGCCTCGTCTGTCTTACCCTGGCCCTGTGACGTGCGAGTGTCACCGGGCACCCTAGCGGCGCCCTCTCCTCCCGGGGCCTCGCTGGCTGTGCCCTGGATGGAAAGGTCCCACCCTAGCGGCGCCCTCCCATCCCGGGGCCTCGCTGGCTGTGCCCTGGATGGAAAGGTCCCGCCCCTCATGGCCCGGCCCGGCTCTCCCCTGGCTGCGGTCGGCATCCTGGCCACCCTCTTTCCCCACCACCCGCATGTTCTTGGGAGTGGATGGCCTCACTTGGCAGCCGCCTCTATGCTTCCTTTTGCAGCCAGGAGTGGGTCCAGTGTTTTAGAGAGAGGGGCCTTGGGGCTGCCGGTCTGGCTGCTGAGGCCAGGTGGTGAAAGTGGGCCCTGGGCAGCCTGAGGGCAGCTCTCACCTCTGGCCAGCAAACTTCTAGACTGCACCTTGAGGGCCAAAAACGTCCAGATTTCCTGCTCAATGCTGTCGTCGCTGTCCACGGAGCTACTGTCACCATCAGAGCGGGAAGGCACGTTGGGGGAGTAGAAGAGTGGGCTTGCGGACAGGGACCCATCGCTGCCCTCCATAGGGCCGGCAGGATCGTCTTGAAAATGTCCAGGACTGCTTCTACACACATCAGCTCAGCGGAGGTGTCTGCCTGGCAAGAGGACCATTCCACAAACTTGCTCCTGGAAGCCGGGCTCGTTGGAGGTGGAGCTTTGGTTTCCTTTGGGATCTTGGGGGAATGGTCAGCGTCCAGATCCCCTGGACCAGGGTCCGTGGTCTTGGTGGGCACTGGCTTCTTCTTGCTGGGTGTTTTCCTGTGGGTCTCTGGCAAGGCACTTTTTGTGGCGCTGCTTGTGCTGTGTGCGGGAGGGGCAGGTGCTCTTTCCTCTTGGAGCTGGACCCTCTGGGGCGGGTCCCCGTCGGCCTCCTTGCGTGTTTTCTGCACCTGGTACAGCTGGATGGCCTCCTCAATGCCGTCGTCGCTGCTGGAGTCGGACGCCTCGGGCGCCTGTACGGCGCTCGTGACTCGCTTTCCCCTCCTTGCTGTGCTGGCGTTCCTTTTAATCCCACTTTTATTCTGTACTGCTTCTGAAGGGCGGTGGGGGTTGCTGGCTTTGTGCTGCCCTCCTTCTCCTGCGTGGTCGTGACCTTGGACCTGAGGCTTCTGGGCTGCACGTTTGTCTTTGCTAACCGGGGGAGGTCTGCAGAAGGCGAACTCCTTCTGGACGCCCATCAGGCCCTGCCGGTGCACCACCTTTGTAGCCGGCTCTTGGTGGGATTTCGAGAGTGACTTCGCCGAATTTTCATGTGTGTCTGGTTTCTTCTCCACTGACCCATCACATTTTTGGGTCTCATGCTGTCTTTTCTCATTCAGAAACTGTTCGATTTCTGCCCTGATGCTCTGCTCAAAGGAGTCTGCTCTGCTCATGCTGACTGGGGAGGCAGAGCCCTGGTCCTTGCTGGATCCCACCTGGCTGCCAGGGCCACACCACCTGAGCCAGGTACAAGTTTTGGGGAACACAGGGCAGTTGGGCACTGCTGTGAGCCAGTTCCGGCTTACATCTACTGCCTCCGCCTGCAGCCCTGGAAGGCTGTGCATGGCTGGGCCCCGCTGGCCCCGGGCTGTGCGGCTCCACTCTTTACCTTCAGGTACTCCTGGATGGCCTCCTCAATGTCCCGGTCCACGGAATCGTCACTGTCTGAATCTAGCACCAATGGGCCAAAGTCTGCAGTTTCCTCCTCCCCCACGGGGTCAAAGTCAGCAACAAGACCACAGGCAGCCAACGCAGGCAGCTCCTTGTGCATGGTGGGCTTGGCAGCAGGCCTGGCGTCGTGGCATCCCTCTGCCCCCTCTGCGCAGTGCGCTCATCGCTGGTGCCCCTAGCAGCCCTGTCGCTCTGCAGCGTGCTGATGAGCATCTGCACCCGGGTGCTCACCGACATGCTCTCCACGCCCTTGTCAGCCTCCGAGAAGCACCCGGGGAACCTAAAGCTCCCTGGTGGGACAGAGGCCACCCATTTGCGCTGGAGAGCAACCACTGGAGGAGCATTCATGAGAAACATTCTGGCAGATGGGGAGCGACGCGCAGAGGGGCGACACTTTATTTCTCTGCAGGCTTCACATCCTCCAAAGATTGGCAAGCAGTACCCGTGAAATAACTTTAAACCTGCAAATGCTTCTTTGCAGGTTTAAAAGGATGACTATAAACTATGACGTCATGCCTAGATTCATTCTTGACCCAACCAACAAGCTCTTGACATTCTCTGAGTCCAGGTTGACTGTGATGAAAGGCAGCTAGTGTTCCCAAATGGCCCAGGGATCAGGTCTTCATCGCTCCACTCAGAGGGAAGCATCCTCTCTCTGCTTTTTAAATAGACTTTTGACTGGGGCTCCAGCAGCGCGGGGCGCGCAGACCTGGAGTTGCATGGAGGCCAGAGCCACGACACCCGCCTGGGGAACGGAGCAGCCCCAGGCGCTGATCCCCGTCCACCTGCCCCACGGAGCCCTCGCCGCCCGCTTGCCACTGCCTGCATGGCCCTCCTGTCCCCGGCCCCCCAGCCCTCCTTTCCCCAGCTCCCCCACCCTCCTGTCCCCGGCACCCCAGCTTCCCAGCCCCCGAAACCGCCCCCCCACCTCGACCCGGCCCATGCCGCAAGTCGCCCGCTGCGCGGACCCGGCCTCCGCCCGCCTCCTGCGTCCTGGGGGAGGCGGCTGCCGGGGGTGGTGGGGGAGGGGGAGGGGGAAGAGGCCGCCCTCCGCCCGGGTGCGGGGAGGGGGCGCAGGGGTGTCCGGCCAGGCCCCCCGCCTCCCCGCCTCCCCGCAGCAGCTGCCCCGCGCCCGGGCCGCCTAATACTTTTACATTTTAACTTTTATACTACAGTGAAAAGTGATTTACACACCACCACTGCAATATTACAGTGTTATGAATGTGACTATATACTTACCTTTCCCTGTGAACTTTTTTTTTTGAGACAGAGTCTCGCTCTGTCGCCCAGGCTGGAGGGCAGTGTCCATGATCTCGGCTCACTGCAAGCTCTGCCTCCCGGGTTCAAGTCATTCTCCTGCCTCGGCCTCCCGAGTAGCTGGGACTACAGGCACCCGCCACCACGCCTGGCTAATTTTTTGTATTTTTAGTAGAGACGGGGTTTCACCGTGTTAGCCAGCATGATCCCCCTCTTCTGACCTTGTGATCCACCCGCCTTGGCCTCCCAAAGTGCTGGGATTACAGGCGTGAGCCACTGCGCCCGGCCTACCTGTGAACTTAATATCTTAATGTTTTAATGTTGCTAATCAGAATCCTTTTATTTCAACTTGAAAAACTGCCTTATAAGGCAGGTGCAGTGGTGATGAACTCCCTTAGAATTTTTTTGGTGGGAGTCTGGGAAAGACCTTATCATCTCTTTTTCATTTCTGAAGGACAGCTTTACAAGTTGTGGTCTTCCTGATTGGCAGTTTTTTTCTTCCAATACATTGAATATAGCATCCTATTCTCTCCTGGCTTATAAGGTTTCTGCTGAGAAATCCACTGATAGCCTTATTGAAGTTTCCTTGTATGTGATGAATTCCTTTCTTCTTGCTGCTTTTGAAAGTCTCTGTCTTTGACTTTTGATATTTTAATTATAATACATCTTGGTATTATGGTCTTTGGGCTGGCCTTTTTTGGGGCCTCTGAACTTCATGTGTCTGGAAGCCCACTTGCCTCTAAGAATTTGGAAAGTTTTTACCCATTATGTCTTCAAATATACTTTCAGGCCTTTTCTATCTTTTTTACTTCTAGGAAGTCCATAATATGTTTGACCCACTTCATGGTGGTGTCCTATAAATCCCAAAGGTTTTTACTTATAAACTTTTTTTTCTTTCTGGTCTTCTGATGGGATATTTCAAATGTCCTGTCTTTAATTTCACAGATTCTTTCTTCTGTTTGATCAAGTCTGCAATTGAAATTCTCTATTGCATTTTCATTTCATTCATTTATTTATTTTTATATATTTTTGAGACAGAGTCTGTGTCACCCAGGCTTGAATGCAGTGGTGCCATCTTGGCTTACTCCAACTTCCACCTCCCGGTTCAAGCGATTCTCCTGCCTCAGCCTCCCTAGTAGCTAGGATTACAGGCATATGCCACCATGCCTGGCTAATTTTTGTATTTTTAATACAGATGGGGTTTTGGCATGTTGGCCAGGCTGGTCTTGAACTCTTGACCTCAAGTGATCCGCCTGCCTCGGCCTCCCAAAGTGCTGGGATTACAGGTGTCCGCCATGGCACCCAGCTTGCATTTTCATTTTATTCATTGTATTCTTCAGTTCTAGAATTTCTGTTTGGTTCTTATTATTTCTGTATCTTTATTGAACTTTTAGCTTTGTTCATCTACTATTTTCTTGATATTATTGAGTTGATATATACATTCTAGTAAATTTCACTGAGCTATCTTAATTATTTTGAATTGTCAGGCAATTTGTAGATCTCTATTTTTGGGGGGTTGATTACTGGAGATTTATGAGTTTATTTTGGTAGTGTCATATTTGCTGATTCTTCATGATCTACAGACTTTCATTAATGTCTATGAAGAAGCAAATACCTCTTCTTTTTTTTTTTTTTTTTTTGAGACAGAGTCTTGCTCTGTCACCCAGCTGGAGTGCAGTGGCGTGATCTCAGCTCACTGTAACCTCCACCTCCCAGGTTCAAATGATTCTCCTGCCTCAGCCTCCCAAGCAGCTGGGATCACAGGCATGTGCCACCACGCCTGGCTAATTGTTTTGTATTTTTTGTAGAGACAGAGTTTCACCGTGTTGTCCAGGCTGGTCTCAAACTCCTGGCCTCAAGTGGTCTGCCCACCTTGGCCTCCCAAAGTGCTGGGATTACAGGTGTGAGCCACCATGCCCAATCTCTTTCTGTCTTTATAGATTGGTTTCAGCAGGTACAAACCTTTTCCTGCTGGATCCCTTGACTGGATCACAGTCAAGTGGGCCTGGAGCCATATCACATGGCTGCTGCCTGGTCTGCAGCTGAATCTCTGATTGGCAGGCCGCTATCAAGGCATAGGTTGGTGATGCAGTTTCTGCTGGATCCTCAGGAGAACTGGACTGCCTCTGATACCCTGATTGAACAGGACTGGAGCCAGGTCATGGGGCCACTTCTAGTTCTACAGTCAAGTCTTCAGATATCAGGCCTATTACCAAGGGCATGGACTGGTATAGCTCCCTGTGGGTCCCAGATTGAGCTCCTGCTGGTTTACTAGGTAGGTCCATGGGAAGACAGGACTGCCTCCAGACCACAGTAGAGCAGGGCTAGAGCCAAGTCACAGGACAGCTTTGGTGACCACATTTGGGTTCAAGATTGGTGGTCCTCTTATTAGGAGAATGGATGGTATGTCTTTCACCAGGTCCCAGGATGGGCTGGACTGTGCCCAGACTGTGGCAAAGCAAGACTGGAATGGAGTCACAGGGCTACTTTAGTGTCCATAGCTGAGACTGAGATCAGCAGGCCTGTTACCAAGGGCATGTAAAGGCATCACTGAATTCCTGGGCAGGCATGACTGACTGTGGTAGAGTGGGGCTGAAGCCAGGTCAGGGCTGCTTTAGTTTCTGCAGTCAGGACCATGGTTAGAAGGCCTGTTACTGGGGGCGTAAATGGTCATGGTTCCTCCTAGGTGCTTAGTGGATGGGGCTAGTTGCAAGACCATGATCTAGTGGAGCTGGACCCACGTCTATAGGAGGACAAAGCTGCTTTCAGTCTGCAACTGGGAACCTGTCACTGGTGTGTGGACCTGCCTTCTCAAAGCAGCTCTCCTTGGTTTTGGGCTTTGCTAGAGTTTTGCCACCTCCTGCCTGGATATTAAAACTCTTGCAAAGGCAGTTTTGTCCATGAATGGCTGCCAGATCATTGTTTGTGTGGGGAGAGGTGAGTGGAGGGCCTCCTGTTCTGCCATCTTGCTGATGTCACCCTAAGATGATTATTTGAATTCTTTGTCAGGCAATTTGTAGATCTTCATGACTTTGGAGTCAGCCACTGGAGTTTCATTTTGTTTCTTTGGTGGTGTCATATTTTCTCATGCTTCCTGTTCTTTGAAGACTTAGATTGCTTTCTTCATGTTTGAAGAAGGAGTCATCTTTTCCACTCTTTACTAACTTCAGGAGAGAAAGACCATCAATTAGCTAAGCTATAGATTCTGGGGGTCTCTCAGTCCTTTTCTGTGGGTGGTCCTTCCCTTTTAAGGGGGATGTCTTAGGATTTTGTCCCTTGTCTTCATTTCACAAATGAATAAAACAACCAGACCAGACATAAGTAAGGAAATACAGCACTTGAACAACACCTGAAAAAACAACTAGACCTAACAGACATACACAGGATATTCTACCCAACAACATAATACACATACTTCTCAAGTATACATGGGACATTTTCAGGATAGACCACATAACACATCACAAATTAATTCTCAATAGGGGCTGGGTGCAGTGGCTCACATCTGTAATCCCAGAGTAATTTGGGAGGCTGAGGCGGGTGGATTGCTTGAAGCCAGGAGCTTGACATCAGCCTGGCCAACATGGTGAAACCCCATCTCTACTAAAAATACAAAAATTAGCTGGGCGTGGTGGTGCGTGCCTGTGATCCCAGCTTCTTGGGAGGCTGAAGCGTGAGAATTGCTTAGGAGCCCAGGAGGTTGAAGCTGCAGTGAGCAGAGATTGTACCACTGTACTCCAGCCTGTACTTCATGACAAAGAAAATGTACCATTGTACCACTGACAGAATGAGACCCTGTCCCAAAAAAGGAAAAAAGCTCAGTAGATTTAAAACGATAGACATCATACAAAGTGTCTTCTCTGACCACAACAGGATAAAGTTAGAAATCAATAACAGAAGATTTAAAAAAGTTCACAAATTAGTAGAATTTAAACAACACACTCTCAAACAACCAATGGATCAAAGAAATCACAAAGAAATTATAAAATTCTTAAAGACAAATGAAAATGAAAGCACACTATATCCAAACTTATGGGCTGTGGCCAGTTGTGGTGGCTCACACCTGTAATCCCAGCACTTTGGGAGACTGAGGGAGTGGATAGCTAGAGGTCAGGAGTTCAATTTCAGCCAGGCCAACATGGTGAAACCCTGTCTCTACTAAAAACACAAAAATTAGCTGGGAGTGGTGGTACGTGCCTGTAGTCCCAGCTACCCAGGAGGCTGAGGCATGAAAATTTCTTGAACCCAGGAGGCAGAGGTTGCACCACTGAGCTAACACCACTGCACTCCAGCCTGGGTGACAGAATGAGACTCTGTCTCAAAAAACAAAGAAACAACAAAAAAACACAACTTATGAGTTGTGGTGAAAGGAGTGCTAAGGAGGAAATTTATAGCTATAAACACATTAAAAAAAGAAACACCTCAATTCAACAACATAAGTTTACACATTAAGAAACTAGAAAAAGAAGAATAAAACTAAACCCAAAGTTAGCAGAAGGAAGGAAACAATAGAGATCAGGGCAGAGATAAATGGAAAAGAGAATAGAAAAACAATAAAAAACAAAACCAAAAGTTGGTTCTTCAAAAAGATTAATAAAACTGACAAGACTAAGGAAAAGGGAAACAATCTAAATTACTTAAAACAGAAATGTATTTGAGAATATCTTTATATATTTCTGTCTGTCTGTCTGTCTGTCTGCCTGTCTATGTTTTAGAGACAAGGTCTAGCTCCACTGCCCTGGCAACAATCAGATGCAACCACAATCAGTGGCACAATCGGCTCACTGCAGCCTTGAATTCCGCG